>NC_000005.10:176663997-176814443 GCF_000001405.40 Homo sapiens
ATTCAAGGGACAGGCACCTGCTGGTCTTGCTGCACAGGCGAGGAAGCCAGGAGTGCCCCATTGGGTGGACACTGCCCGACTGACTCAGCCCATCCTCTTGGACATGCAGGAGGTTTCTAGGCAGGAAACACCCTTGGATTCTATCTTTGGGCACTTGTATCTCTGTGGGATAAATGTTTGGAAGTGAATTGCTAGGTTAAAGGGCAGCTGCATTTCTAATTTACATAGCTGTTGCCAAATTGCCCTCGGAAGAGGTCATACTGATTTACGGTGCCACAGATACCGTTGGGCAGAACCCTTGCCCTCCCGCTGGCAGCAGCCGGAGTCCCCCCTGCATTCACCCACCTGGTTCATCTTTGTCAATCTGTTGGAAGAAAATGGTTTCTCTTTGTGGTTCTCCTTTGCACGGCTCCTATGAGAGAGGTTGAGCGTGTGTTCATGCAGATCAGTACGATTTGGCATAGTCAGAATTACCAGAGTGAGCTCCAAGGGGTGGGGAGCCCCCGGGCTGGAGTGGTTCTGTGTGAGGTAAGGGAGCTGGTGGTCTGGGAGTCTTGCAGGTCGGTGGTGTGTTGGGTAGAGGCAAGGAGGGTGCTCCTGGTGGAGGGACCGGCCTGAGGAAATGCTCAGACGGGTGGGAGGCAGGAGTACCTGGCCTGGCCCCTCTGCTCAACAGTAAGCCACATGGCTCCTGCTCCTTTGGTCCCTAAGCCCCAGCCAGGTTTCTTCCTCTGCTCTCTTTCTCTGCTTGAGCTAAACTGCAGTTCCTGGGGGAGGGCTGGGAGAAGGTCTCCGCCCTACAGGGGGCATCTTCCAGCATCCCCAGAGGGAGCCTGACCCCCAGCATTCAGTGAGGAATCCCCCATGGCCTGCTCCGTGTCCTGGGCTCCTCCTGCCCCTCCCACCCACCCCAGCTGCAGGGGCGCTTACATCCTCATTAACACGGCTCAGTGGCTGGCGCTGGGAATTGATCTCCCTCAGGCCCAGTGTGGACAGCGGCTAATGGGGATGAATGGGGCGGGAGGTGCTGCCGAGGGACGGTCGTCCGGTGGCCCACACAGGGCGGAGAGGTGGGCAGATGGAGATGTGCAGAGCCAGGCCCCGCATGCAGCTGGGACGCCTGCAGCTGCCTCGACCGCTGGCCAACCTGGGTCCTGGGGCAGGATGATCAGACAGGGGGATGCGGCGCGGAGGCGGGGAGCTCTGGAATTCAGCTGCTCATGGGGGTGGGAGCAGGCCGTGGGGATAGGGCCCAGTCTAGGAAGTGGAACTGGAGTTCTGGGGTGGCATCCAGGAAGGCTATGAGCATCGGGACCCCAAGGTTAGGCAGGCAGTGTTGGAGGGGAGTCAGTGTCGGGGAGGGAGGGAGACACTCCGGAGCTGAACCTGGCAGCATGGGGCAGGCAGGATGCCATTGTTTAGTCAGTCAACCAACACCAAGTGCTTACTATGCACCAGGCACTATGCCAAGGACTGGTACCCATATGAAGTGGCCAAGACAGTCAAGATCTTCTTCCAGGGATGGGGGGCATAGATGATGATACACGCTCAGAAGAAAGTAAACACGGTTATGTGACAGGGTGATGGAACAGAGGTGCTAGTTGAAGAAGATTTCCAGGGACGTCTGTCTGAGGAGGCAGCATGTGGGCTAAAACCTGTGTGGTGAGGAAAAAAATCATTCCAGGCAAAGGGAACAGGCAGTGCAAAGGTCCTGAGGTAGGAATGGGCTCGGGCATTTCAGGAAAAAGAAGGGGCCATTGCGGCTGCAGTGTGGCCTGTGAGGAAGAGATGAGCTGAGAAATGGGTGGCATTAAAGCAAGGAAAGTCACAGTCAAGGCCAGAGCCAGGTCTAAGGGGTCAGTGGGCGGGACCCCCTTCCTAAGTGGTGTGGACCATACACAAAAGCTGAGAGTGAGGTCCTGTCTGGCTCAACTTGGCCTGAGGACCCAAGGGAAGCCAGGCTTGGGAAGACTCCATCACTGCCTGATCACTGTGCCTGCAAATGGGAGTGGGGAGGCCCTGGGAGTCTGGGCCATCCTTGGCCAGATGCAGAGGACACAAAGAGGCCTTCCTGGCCACTCTAGGAGAGGCTATCCGGCCCCTGCTGCATGCATGGCTCAGTGACCTGTCTCGTCCCACTTCTAGCTGACTTGAGAACCCAGCTCCCAGCAAATAAGAAACCTATTCATGAGTGTTAAAGTTTTTGTTTTTGTTTTTTTGCAACAGGATCTTGCTCTGTTGCCCAGGCTGGAGTGCAGTGGTGAGATCATGGCTCACTGCAACCTCAAACTCCTGGGCTCAAGTGATCCTCCCACCTCAGGCTCTCGAGTAGCTGGGACCACAGGCAGGTGCCACCATGCCTGACTCATTTTTTTTTTTTTTTAGTAGAGATGGGGTCTCACTATGTTGCCCAGGCTTATTTCGAACTGCTGGACTCCAGCGATCCTCCCACCTTGGCCTTCCAAAGTGCTGGGATTACAGGCGTGAGCCACGGCGCCCGGCCTGAGCTTAAAGTTATACAATAAAGCTCAGTACTGAAGCAGGAGGCAGCCAGCCCAGCAGGCAGGGACGCTCTAGAATTCTTTCAGGGCCTGAGACCTAAAACCCACGTATTTTTTTATGGGCAATTTAAGCAATTTTCAAGGGTGATCTTGACTGTTCTTTTGATTTTTGTCATAGGTGCTGACCTCGCTATCAAATACCCAAGTTGGATGTTGCTGCCACAGATCCTGTGGGCTGAGGCGTGCCCTGGACTCTCACGGGACAGGCGCTGGCAAACCAGGGGAGGGTCTCACATGAAAGGACCACAGCAGACTCGTCCCTTTGTCAGAGGAAAGAAATAGAATACTGTTTGGATTACAGATACTAGTAAAATATGATCTTGAAAAAACATTTGATAAATTACAGCAGGAATTTATAATTTAAAAAAAATCGCCAGGCGTGGTGGCTCACGCCTGTAATCCCAGCACTTTGGAAGGCTGAGGCAGGTAGATCACCTGAGGTCAGGAGTTCAAGACCAGCCTGTCCAACATGATGAAACCCCGCCTCTATTTAAAAAAAAAAATTAGCTGGGCATGATTGCGCATGCCTGTAATTCCCAGCTACTCAGGAGGCTGAGGCAGGAGAATCGCTTGAACCTGGGAGGCGGAGGTTGCAGTGAGCCGAGATCGCACTATTGCACTCCAGCCTGGGAGACTAGAGCAAAACTCTGTCTAAAAAAAAAGAAAAATCACAATTTCTTAGCAACTAGAAATAAAAGGAAATTTCTTTCACCTGATAAAGGGCACATATCAGACATATGGAAGAAACTTTATACTTCATGTTGAAACATCAGCAGCAGGAACAAGACAAGGATGCTGACTCAGTGCTACAATTCAGCACCGTCATAGAGTCCTAGCCAATGCAGTAACACAAGAAAATAAATAAGAAGGATAAAAATTAGCAGGGAGGAGACAAGGGCAGGAACCATCTCTGTCCTCTTGTTTCCAATTAAGCAGATACCTAATAAATTTTATTAAATTGGAGGAAAATTCATTGTATCCTTAAAGAAGGTTCTTGAAGGTAACAGAGCAGAATGGATCCTTTAGTAGCTAAAGTCTGAAATATTCAGTGGTCGTCAAGAAGTTCCATTGGTCATGGACCTGCCAAAAAGATAGAAGCACGATAAGACCAGAGAAGCATGAGAGAGCCCTTGGGATGCCAGGAAAATTGTTTTCAAAATAATTGGTGTTGATCCAAAATCAGGGGCATGATGTTTGGGTCGGTGGGGTCTCTGTGGCAGAGGACTCAATGGCCCCTGGATTCTGAAGTGGGAGCACGGGGCTGGGGGAACAAGCCAGGCGGTGTCTTCCAGCCAGGGGGAGCTGCAGGGAGAAGAGGAAGTCTTTTCACTCTTTGCCCTGGGATACTGAACGTCAGAATATGTTGCTGTTTTCCATGGGGTTCTAGAATATTGAGTTTAATTCCCACTTCTCGTTTATTCCCTGCCAGGTTTGGGTTCTTGATGTGTCTATGACACACTCAGGAAAGGTAGCCCCGGCTCAGGGCAAGCTGTGTGTCGGGTACCTACTGCATCTGCCTGGTCCCCATCTCTCCCCCAGCTTCTGGTGGCGGCACCTAGATTTTCCTTTGGGGAGAATCCCTCCCTCCTTGATTTCTGTTCTCCAAAGGGAGTGGCATAGGACCCAGGCCTGACATCAGCACATTCCATGGCCTTGGCTGTGGAGAGGCACAAAGGATGCCTGCTCCTGGGTCCTCACTGGGACAGAGAGGCTCCGCTCCCTCCCTTGGAGTTCTAAAAGCTGTTGGTGACCACCTTCCTGCCTGTGGTCCCAGAGTGAGGCTGACAGAGAAACATAGAGTCCAGAGAAGGTGGGCAACCTTGGCTTGGTGATGGCACTTGAGCTGTAGGTGTAGCCATATCTTATGGCAGAGCCATTGTTTTGTCTAAGGGGGTCCGAGCTGGGTTTCTGTCATCTTCAACTGAAAGTCCTGATGGACATAGTGGGAAAGAAGGGAGAAGCTGAAGGCCTGGGTCAGACATGCCCTGTCTCGGGGGTGGGGGCGAGATGCAAACCACTTCCAGATGGAGCCCAAGCTTCTTCCTCTGTCCCATAGCGCCCCTCCCAAGGGAGCTGATCCCGAGATCCCTAGAGGAGTGGAGGAATGATCAGGCATCATGCTAAGGAGTTTTTGTAAAGTCAATTTATTGAGTCTAATTTACATACATCGAAGTCTCCACACTTTAGGTGCATATTTCAGTGGGTTTTACAAATTTATTCCCCTGTGTAACCACCAAGATAGAGAACATTTCCATCACCCAGAAGGTGCCCTGTGGTCCTTCTATGTCAATCTCTGCTCCTACCCTGCTGCCAAACAAACATTGAGCTGCTTTCTGTCACTGCGGGTTAGATTTCTATTTTTTTCTCTAAAGTTTTGCATATAGTCAATCCTCAGTATTCACGGATTCCATATTTGTGAAGTTGATGACTTGCAAAAATTTATTTGTAACCCCCAGATCAATCCTCGTGGCACTTTTGTGATCATTCCTGGACATCAGCAGAGCACTGAGAAGTTTCGTTTGTGGATGCACACATTTCCTGCGGAGGTCAAACTCAACGAGCGACTTTCCCCCGTCTACTCAGGGCCACCTTTCCCGCATTTTTGTACTTTTTGTTGGGGATTTCGCTGTTGAAAATGGCCCTCAAGCATCAGAGTGAGGCCCTGGCTGGTGCTCCTTGATGCTAGAAGGCTGCGATGTGTCTTACAGAGAAAATGCATGTGTTGGATGAGCTTTGCTCAGTCATGAGTTATAGTTCTGTGGCCATGAGTTCATGCTCACAGATCAACAGCCTCTATATTAAATAAGGTGTCTTTAAACATAAGAACACATGCCACAGATGTATGCATTGGTCAGGTGACCAAAATCTTGTGAGCAGAGGATCTCAGGAACCTAACTCTGCATTTCCCTGGGAGCAATGCTTCCATACCAGTGAATTCAGTGTTCCCGGGAATGTCACAGAACATTACTGCCAGGCATGAGAGCCGGTCATATATGCAGTCATACAGATGCCACCTTTTGAGTCCGGTTTCTGTCACTTAGCATGACGCTGCTGAGATTCATCCCTGTTGTTCTTTTTGTTGCTGAGGAGTATTCCATTGTGGGGCTACGCCAGCTTCTCCATTCACTCAGCAGTTGATGGAGCATTTGGGTTCTTTCCAGTTTTTGGTGATCATGAACAAAGCTGCTGTGAACTTTCGTGTACAAATCCATGTGTGGACATATGTTTTCATTTCCATTCTAAGTGTCAGCTTAGGAGCACATACATTTATTACTTGCTTAATGCTTGCAGTAGCCCTGCAAAGCAGCCTCATTTTATGCATAAGGAGCTGGGCTCGGAGCAGAGCTATGGTGGCCTGCTGAATATCACATGGCTCACAGCAACTGGCACTGGCGCACAATCTCTTCCCTGGGGGAGGCCTGGGGGTCCCTATTCAGAGTGGCCCCATGGTGGGTGGGAGGGCCTTGGCTCTGTCATTGCCTCTCCAGGGGCCTAGAGGTCCTCAGCTGCAAAGTGCAGATTCAGTCCCCTCTGAGATCCCTGAGCTCCAAGCCTGTGATTATGGGGCCTGAGCCACAGCAGCGGGCTGCACCCCAGCCCCACTGCAGCCCTTCACAGGCTGAGCAGGGCTACAGCCAAGACTGACAGGCTGGGTGGGCTGGCTGGCTGGCTTCTAGGGCTTCAGCTGCCCTGAATACATTCCCCTGCTGGAGGTGACGCCACCGGCTTTTGCTTTGGGGGCTCATCCTCCTCTAGCATTTGCAGGGGATGAGCTGCCACCAAGGCCTTACACTCTCTGGAGGAGCTCCACATGCTGAGGGCTTGGCTTGTCTGGCCCTTCTCTATGGTGGGGCTTTGATCCCTGTGCAGAGAACTGACACAGGGACTGAGAAATGGCCAGAGCAGGCTCTAGGCAGCCTTTGCTCTGCACCCTTTCCAGGTTTCTGTGTCCCAGCCATCCAGTGAGCTGCCTGACAACCTCCCAAAGCCTCGCAGAAGCTTTCCGTTGCTTGCGCTCAGCGATCCCTGCATGCCACAGTGGATGCTCCCCTCCCTCGAGCCCCTGAGGCCTCAGCACCAGCTTGTCTCTTAGCAGGCTCTTCCCCTGGACTCCACCTCCTGCCCATCTGTTGGCTCAAGGAAGCCCTGGACTGGGGACAGCCTGGTACTTGACAGCAACTGATGCAGAGGGAAGAGCCCCAGGTCCGGGGAACGAGGACGAAGATCTGGGTGCTGAGTTGTTGCTTGTCCTCTGGGGCTCATCTTCCTCATCTCTAAAATGGGTACCATTTCCACAGTTTCATTCATTGTCATTGACCCCATCTCCTGTGGGTCCCGGCACTGTCCCTGAGGCTGGAAATCAGGGGAGGAGAGGGGCCCAGACAGGCCCCTGCCCTGATGGAGGAGAGGCAGATGCACTGTTGCAGATCTTGGAGATGACAGAGGAAGTCCCAATGCTCTGGGGACCAACTTGGGGCATTGTCCATGTTTTGGCCAGTCCTGGTACCAAAAACTGACTTTGACTACTATTTTTTTTTTTTTTTTTGACAGAGTCTCTCTCTGTTGCCCAAGCTGCAGTGCACTGGTGCAATCTTGGCTTACTGCAACTGCCTCCCAGGTTCAGGTGATTCTCCTGCTTCAGCCTCCCAAGCAGCTGGGATTACAGGCACCTGCCACCACACCTGGTTAATTTTTTTTTTTTTTTTTTTTTTTTGTATTTTTAGTAGAGATGGAGTTTCACCATGTTGACCAGGTTGGTCTTGAACTCCTAACCTCAAATAATCCACCTGCCTCAGCCTCCCAAAGTGTTGGGATTACAGGTGTGAGCCACAGTGCCCGGCCTGACTTTGACTGCCTTAATGCAAGGGGGAATTAATTGGAAGGAAAGGGCAGAAGTCAGGGCCACGCTGGGGAGCTGGGTGGTGAGAACTGAAGGAAAGTCTCTTTAGGGTGTGGCCACTCAGATAAGAAATCCTGCTGAGATTCAAAATTGCACAGAGGGGTGAGTACCCACCAGGGTGGAGGGTGGGTCTCATGACTGGCAGGCTGCCAAGCTGGCCTGCAGTGGGCTCCCCGAAATGTGGGGGAAATGCAGGGAAGGAAAAAGTCCTAAGTGTCCCCTGGTTGGGTGGAGTGGGAGAGTGGTGTCAGGTGAGGCTTGCCGGAAGCACTCAAATGCATGGGAAACAGAACTGTGAACTCCAAGGGGCAGAAACAGCAGAAGGCTTCGGCACTGTGAGCCTCAGAAGTGGCCGGCACCTACCCAGTGGCCAGCCCAGGGAAGGACTTCCCACCTGTTCTCTGATCCAGCGTCTCCACACGGGGGACACTTGTGAAGTTTACGTGGGACGAAAGAAGCCCAGCACATGGGCCTTGGCAGTCCCACCTGGCCCCACCTGCTAGGAATTTAGAAGAGAGCTGCAGAGACCTGGCACACACAAGGCTACCGTCCAGTCACTGAGGTGTGTGGCAAGGGCTGGGGAATGCCCGAAGAGGCGACCCACCTGGACGGCAGGCAGGGGCTTTCAAAGGAGGCCAGGAAGGCTGAGCAGTGTAGGGCCAAGGCTGTGGCAGAAAGGAGGGCATTCCTTGCGTGAGAGACCCTGGGTTTTGATTCTTGGGCCCTGGCTCTACCCTGTGGACCTTGGAGGGAGCAGGGGCCTGGGCAAACAGAGGTGACCTGGGGGTGCGGCAGGAAGGGGAGGGTGGGGTTGGGGAAGAGCTGTTGTGCGGGGCAGGCAGTGGGGAGGCGAGGAGATGGGGTAGGGGGTATGCAGGCCCCTGCAGGTCCTGCAGAGGACACCCCAAGGTTACCTTGGCCTGTGGCTCCGCGGCTCAAGGCTGCTGGCAGCAATGACAACAGCGAACCAGCAGCCTCTCCGAGTTTTATTATCATTCAAATGAGGACGTGGAGAGGTATTTCATTTGATTGGTAGAATAATAGGAGCCATTTATCTACCTTCTCTCAACCTTTCATATCTGTTTCACTATTTTATGGGATCGCATACATCATAGTAAAGGCAAAAATGTATTTTTTTCCCTTGACTTGGGGCTGGGGGGGGCAGCAGGGATGGGAAGGAGGCTCTCAGAGTGGCTGGCAGGAGCTGAAGGAAATGAAATCGAAAAAGACTATTATTGGTGACAGACAGTTACATCTGAAAGGGAATAAGAAACTCCCCAATGCGGGCACAGAGAGGAGTTTTAAATGGAAGATCTAACAGCCTCCAGCTCTAGGTCCATTGAGAGGCAGAGGACTGAGGGAGGCGTGAGGGGTGGGGGGCGAGACAGGGGGTGTGGCGGGGCATGGGGCGGGGGGGCTTCAGGGAGCCAGGAGGGTCCTTGAGGGAAACAGCAATGAGGCTGGCACAAGGGGCATGTGGTCCAGCTGTTGGAATTCTTTGTCTTTCTTGGGTTATGATAAATTACACGTGTCATACAAGGATCCATTCTCCTTTTGAAAACACTAGAACATCACAGGTAAAGACCCTGTGACCATCAGCCCCAATCCCAGCGCCCTCTACCCTTCCCAGAAGTAACAACTGTTAAGATTTTTTCCTCTTGATTTTACAAATATATAAAGATGCCTTAAAAGAGGTAATACTCTTTTGTGAATTCCCACCCCACCATCCCCCTCCCTTTTTTTTTTTTTTTTTTTTTTTTTGTTTTTTGGGACAAGGTCTCACTCTGTGGCCCAGGCTGGAGTGCAGTGGTGTGCTCTCAGTTCACTGCAGCCTTGACCTCCTGGGCTGAAGTGATCCTCCTGCTTCAGCCTCCAGAGTAGCTGGGACTACAGGTGTGCACCACCACACCGGCTAATTTCATTTTTAGTAGAGGCGGGGTCTCCCTGTATTCACAACCCAGGCTGGTCTTGAATTCCTGCGTTCAAGCCATCTTCCCAAAGTGCTGGGATTACAAGCATGAGCCACCACACCTGGCCCTTTACCCCTTTCTTAAAAGGTGTCACGCTGTCTCATTCAGCTCCTTGGTTTTTCTCACTGGACATATTTTTGAGCCTTGTGTGGGTCTGGGTCACTCCTGGAGCTGTCCGGGGTGCTCCTGTCTGTGATTGTCCTGTGCTGTAGCCCCCGGTGCCCCCCGATGAACCCTTGGGTGGCTTCCAGCTTTTCACAATGACAAAGAATGCTTCGAGGGGTCTGGGCAAGGCTTTCTTGAGGGCAGGTGAGCAGTGAACTCTCCGGTGGGGAGGGGTGCATTTTCAGCTGGAGGAGACACTGTCCCATTGCTGTCCAAAGTGTCTGTGGTGGGGCTGCAGCCAGCTGGCCACCGCGAGGGGAAGCGCGCAGCTGTTCTTGCACGAAGGTTCCCCATGAGGTCGTCTTGGGCAGCAAGTTGGTGGCAGAGAGGGGAACAGCAAAGCCCTGGCTGGACAGGGTGTCAGAGCAGAAGTGGGAAGGCGGGACCCACAGAGCTCCAGGGGACCCCTGGAGCTCCAGGTGCAACCCCACTGGGTGGGGGTGGGTGAGGTTCCTGGGAGGCACGCAAAGGGCAAACGGGCAAGACCCGGGATGTGAAGGCTGGCTGCAGGCTCGGGCTGGGTGAGAACCAGCAGCACTTGGTGTGGCTGGCAGGGTAGCCCGCCAGCACAGCCAAGGGGGCAGGGTAAAGGCAAAACTCAGGTCTCTGGGTGGTGCCAGCACAGGGCAGGGGTGTGCAGAGCATGGGCATAGAGAGTCCTCCAGGGGCCCTGGCTCCCTGACAGCAGCACAGAGACAGGGAGGGGGTTCCCTCCGAGCATGGGAGACAACTCAAGGCCTACCAGGTATGGGGCTGAGGCTCCCTGCTCAGGCCCCCCATCCCCCACCATGGGATGGCACTTGGTCCCAGCCCTCAGAGATGTGATGGGAGCAGGTGGGGGAAGGAGGCGGGTGGCCTGGTGGGAACTGGGCTCTCTATCCTGGGAGACTCTTAGGTTCCGGAACCCTCTTAAGAGTCCAGCTGCAAGACTTAGAAGGAGTTTCTTAAACAACCAAACAAACAAAAAAACCAAACCAAGCCAAACAAAACAAAAAAAAAAGTGTTATTGAGATGTAATCCACATACCATACAATTTGCCCCCTTAAAGTATACAATTCAGTGGTTTTTAGTATATTCACAGATATGTGCCACCTTGATCACGGTCAATTTAGAGCATTTTCATCACCTCCAAAAGAAACCCTTTAGCTATCACCCTATCTCCACGATCACAAATCTCCGCACTGTTGCTATAGGTTTTCCTGGTCCGGGCATCTCACAGGAGAGCACGCGCATGGTGTGTGGTCTTCTGCACCGGGCTCCCTTCATTCAGCACCACGTTTGCAGGGATCGTGTGCGCTGGGGCCTATAACCAGCACTTCCTTCCTTCTGAGGCCGAACGATGCACCACATTTTGTTCATTCATTCATCAGTCGATGAACACTTAGGTTATTCTCACCTTTTTTTGACTTCGGATGGCCCCTGACTTACGATGGTTTGACTTCATGGTTTTTGACCTTACAGTGGTGTGAAAGCCACATCCATTCAGGAGAAACTGTACTCTGAGCACCCATGCGAGCATTCTGCCATGAGATGTTCAACGCTTTATTATAAAAAAGGTTTTGTGGGGCCGGGTGCGGTGGCTCATGCCTGTAAACCCGCCAAGGTGGGTGGATCACTTGAGGTAAGGAGTTCGAGACCAGTCTGGCCAACATGGCGAAACCCTGTCTCTATTAAAAATACAAAAAACAGCCGGATGTGGTGGCACGTGCCTGTAGTCCCAGCTACTCGGGAGGCTGAGGCAGGAGAATGACTTGAACCCGGGAGGTGGAGTTTGCAGTGAGCCCAGATCGCACCATTGTGCTCCAGCCTGAGCAACAGAGTGAGACTCCATCTCAAAAAATAATAATAATAATAATCGAAAAAATATATAACAAAAATAAAAACACAATAAAAATAATAAAAATAAAAAAGGCTTTGTGTTAGATGATCTTGCCCAACTCATGTCAATGCTCTGAGCACGTTTAAGATAGGCTAGGGTGAGCTATGATATTCAGAACGTTCGATGTCTTAAATGCATCTTCAACTTACGATTATTTCCAACTTAGAATGGGTTTATCGTAAGTGGAGGAGCATTTGTACTATGAATAACATTGCTATAAACATTCGTGTACACGTTTCAACGTGGACATATGTTTTCATTTCTCTTGGGTGTGTGTACCTACGGGTGGAATTGTTGGGCCATTTGGTGGCTCTGTTTCAGGAACTGCCAGACTGTTTTCCACAGGGCCGCAGCCACTTCACATTCCCACCAGCAGGGCGTGAGGGTTCTGACTTCACACTTCTCACCAACACACATTATCTGACTTTTAAATTCTAGTCATCCTAGTGGGAGGAGTCGCTTTTTGAGGAAACTTCAAAAGCAGGTGGGGCTAGGTGAGGTGCCTCACACCTGTGATCCCAGCACTTTGGAAGGCCAAAGTCGGAGGATCGCTTGAGCCCTGGAGTTCGAGGCCAGCCCGGGCAACATAGCGAGACCCCTGTCGCTACAAAAAATTAAAAAATTAGTTGGGCATGGTGACATGTGCCTGTAGTCCCAACTGCTTGGGAGGCTGAGGCAGGAGGATCACTTAAGCCCAGGACTTTGAGGTTGCAGTAAGCCATGATCGCGCTACGGCACTCCAGCCTGGGCGATAGAGCCAGACCCTGTCTCAAGAAAAAAAAAAGAAAAAGAAAAAAAAAAGCAGGTGGCAGAGCTAGCTTGGTGCACCTCTGGGCTCCAGGACTGTCGGGAGTCTGTGTTGGCTTCATCTCAGTCTGACCCCGGCCACACGAGCAGCTTCAGCCACTTCCTGATCTGACCTTGGAACTCGGAGTCCCCCTCCCAGTGGTTCCTGCAAAGCCCCAGGGGGACTCGGAGTGGCCTCCTCTTGACAGTCAGTTGTGAGTCAGCAATTTCCTCTCATGATTAAGACGGTCCCAGGGGAGCTTTGGTCACTTGGAACCTAAAGACACTTGACTGATCCCATTGGTCCTCCTGAGTGGCTCAGAGTCTGGGAGGCCGCCAGGGCCCAGGTCACACTTCCTGGCCTGACCAGACCAATGAGCCCATCGCCTGGAATCTGCAAGCCCCTCCGTTGAGCTGGGAGCCCTTCGAGGGACTCCTGCTTGCATTAAACCTATACCAGTGCTTTCTGAGTTTCACTCTCCCCCCTGGGGTGTGATGATGATACCGCCCATCCCTGAGGGGCCTGTGACAAACGCTACCCCTTTATACATCCTGGCTCTGATATGAACAGCCTTTTTCTTGGGTCCCTGAACACACTTTGTCACTGCTGGGGCTTAACAAAGCCTTCCTGAACGCCCAGGAGAGCAGCAGGGACCTAACAGAGGACTCCAGAGGCTCAGACCCAGCCCCGCACGGCTCCTCCACCCCAAATTCAGCCCCGGGGTCTTGTTCACCAACTGCTGGGTCAGAGGTCCTGATTTCCATGTCTACTTGCTGCTGGGTGACAGGGCAGCTTTCCCTGGCCCCTGCCAGGGGGTCCCCAACCAGGCATCTCACTGATTTCATGGACCTGCCCCAGAGAGGGGCACCCAGTTCTGTAGTACCCATCCCCCCAGGGCTGCCCCCACTTCCAGTTTTCCAGGGGGTAGCACTGTGATGTCACCCCTAGTGAGGGCCGTTTTGTTCCTGTCACACTCCCCACTACCACAACAACTAGGCCCTATCCTTGAGGGATGCAGGCTGCACAGAGAAGCAGAGAAACAAGAGAAGGGAAACCTTAGCTGTGGAGCTTCCAAAGTCCAGGTCCTACCACATGCAGTACATTTGGAACGCTCTCTGCACAGCATGTGTCTCCCCCTCAGCATGGACAGATGAGGTTAAACATTGTCTAGCTGTGGAGGACAGAAGAATATAAGGAACTAAGGGAGAGGGCTCTCCTGGGCTGGGTGGGGGTACGCCTGGGGAAGGATAAGCCCCCAGGGGCAGCTGCAGCTCTGATCTCGGGATTGGTGGGGCTGAACCTCATTTCCTGGGAGGGGCAAGGTCCCCAGGTGCCCTGTGCCCTGAGAAGGCCAGGAGACTCTAGACAGGGAGTGAGCGGTGGTGGCTCAACAGAGGGCCTGTGACAGCCCAGCGAGCTCCCCAGCCCCAGTGCCCTGTAGGGAGCGGCCAAGTTCTCAAGGAGGGCCTGGAAGGGAGTCCCAGTTGTGACAAGAGGAGGCCACAGCCAAAACTTGCTTGGCCCTTACAAGCAGAGACCAGATGGGGACGCAGACAGCTCATCGGCTGCCAACTCGGAACAGAGATGACAGCCAAGAACCACATGTCCCAGTGTATGTCTTGGGGGTGCCAGCAGGGATGACATCGACCGATGACCCATCTGCCACCTCCCCTGATGTTTATGATGTCACCCATATTTGCTGGGATCTGTGGGGTCCAAGAGATGGGGGAGGGGGCCCTGAATCTTCTGAGTTGAAGCTGACAGAGCTGAACTGAACTCAAGACTTTTCTGCTACTCAGTAGAAAACGGAGGTTGGAAAGGAAGCATGCATATAGTAGGAAAGTAAGGTGGTGGTTTTGGCACACCTGCGTGAGTGGCCTGAACATTCACACCCACAATCCAGGGCTGAATGAGGGACAGTGAATGCAGCCTTTGGTGGGGTGGCTCTTCCTCCCCGTCCCTGGTCATGTGATGGGCACTGGTGTGTACCTGAGCATTTCCTCCTCGCTCTCCCTCCTGGGGGTAGGTGTCAGGGGAACAGAGAGGGCTGGGTGAGTGGTGAACACAGCCATCTATCTTCCTGCTCCCCAAGTCCCCCTTTGGTGAGGATGTTGCCAGGAGCAGGCAAGAGCTGGGAGGGCAGGTAGTGATGACTAGGAAGGAAAGAGGCAGTCCCGGGTGCCTGGGTGACCTGGTGGCCAGAGGAGAGGGAGAGGCCTGGAGGAGGCTGGGACAGAGGAAGGCTCAGAGGAGGCACTGGGCGGTGGTCAGCAGACTTAAGAGCCAGAATCCACTTCCGGTTCCTGGGCATATTCCCTAAGCAATCGGAGCCTCCGGTCCTCACCCCAAACAAGGTGGGCTCCACATGTCTGCCTGGCCCACATCTTTCTCCTTCCTGGTTCTCACTTGGGAAACCTTCATCTCCCAGTAGTTTAGGCAGTGCTGACCCTGGCCTCTGGCTTCAGGCCTGGCCAATGGGGCTATATTCTTGCACCCTTGTTGGAACTGTTGGCCGAGGGAAGCTGGCTGTCTGCCAAGATGGCTGAGCTGAGCAGTGAGCGCCCGTGGGCCCCTCCTTGCTGATCTCCCCAAGCTGGGCCCAGGCCCCTGCCAGGCCCTTTGCACCTGCTGCTCACTTCCCTGGGGTGCCTTCTCCTCTGACCTTCACCTTCAGCTCCTCTCATCTGAGGCTCAGCCCAGTGGCCCTACTCAGAGAGGCCAACTTGGCTCCCTTTAAAGCAGTCCCCAGTCCTGTCCCAGGGCCTTCCCTATGTCTGCGTTTCTTCCCAGCACTCACCACCATCCGAGATGAGCTCCTGAGCTACTTTAACTGACCATCTCCTCCTCTGATATCAGCCGCCAAGAGCAGGGACCTTGTTGCGCTCCTTCCCAAGCCAGGGCCCAGCACAGAGCAGAGGCTCAGCAGTCCCTGCCTGGACACCGAATGCTACTGAGAACTCTGTGCCTGGTGTGGGGCAGAGTCTCCAAGGTCACAAACCCATCTTGGGGGTGCAAAATCCCTGCTAAGGTTTTCTAAAACAAAACTTAATTTCTGTCTTGAGTCCCCATTAGAGTAAATTCAGGATAAATTTGGCCCATTTTGGGGTGTTCTTGGTCCATTTGTGGTTGCACTCAGGTGGAGGAGGGACCCAGGAAGGGTCAAGGCCTCGAGTGGGGCCAAACTCCCCAGACATCTGTGTGACCTCAACGCTGCACCCACAACCCAGGGGTCTCTGCCTTCCACACTGGCTCCACATAGTCCTCCGTCCTGCCTGGTACAGGATCCATCCCTGCCGCATGCCCCTCTTAGACCACCAGGGTCCCCCGTCACGTCCCAGGACCAATCTGGTGACCCCTCTGCTTCAAGACATACATTCTGCCTCAGTGGGGGCACATGGGGACTCTAAGTTACCCCCATCCATTCTGTCCAGGCCCCTCCCACAGGAGTTAGGAGGGGCTGTCTTGGTGGCTGGTGACCTGATGAGTGGGTGTCTCCGTGGGCCCCACTGCTCCCCTCCGAACATCCCCCTGCCTGGGATCCCCAGACTCCTTACAGGGCCAGGCTAGCTCCTCTCCCTGTCACCCTGGGGCTCTGCCAGCTACCAGGCAGGAGGCTGTCAACACCGGGAGGAGGACATATCCGAGGCATCTCGGACGCCAAGCGTGAGTGAGCAAGGCTCGTCCTGCTAAGGGTCTGGGGACGTGACTGGGTGTGCAGAGGAAGAGAGAGGCCAGGCTCAGGCTTCATCTTGTTTAATCCGTGGAGGACCTAGGGGATCCCTGTTTAGACCCCTGCAGGCTGCAGTGCCGCTCTGCTCCGGCCTTAGCGCCTCCCCGCAGCTCAGAGGATGGGACTGGGGTCCAGCTCCCTGCCCGCCCCGCACCCCGTACCCCGCAGCCTGTCCGTCCATCCGCCCCGCTTCACTTCGCTGTCCCCTGTCGGGGTTCGAGTCGCAGCCTCCAGCCTCAACCCGCACCTCCCGCCCTGCAGCTCAACTCTCGCCTCCGCTGCAATTTATTACTGGAGGCCGCAGAACCAGCGGCGTGGAGTGCGCCTCCCGGGAGCCGCCGCTGTCGGAGAAAGGCACCCACCCGCCTGGGCCGGCTCCCGGGCGCGGGGCGGTGTCTCAGGGAGGCGTCTCAGCCGAGCTGCAGGGCGAGGGGAGCGAGCCGGGTCCCGGGGGAAGGCATCCGGTCAGGGCCTCGCCCACCCGGATGGCTCCTGCGCCACGGGGCCTGAGCTCCGCCTTTGGGATCCGCGAGGATTGGAGACTGGGGACCCGGCAGCAGAGGGTCCAGGCAGAAAAGCTCCGTGTGGCCCCCAGGGAGGGTGGATTTAAAGAAAACCAGTCACATTAAAAAGCCAGGGTTCATGGAAATACTTGGACTGCTGGCTTCTCCTGAAAAACGGGCAGTCGACACCGGGTGGCCTTCCACAAGGCAAACCTGGGGGGCAGCCCCGTTTAGAAGGCCCGGCTGCCCTCTTCAGTCACCCAGCGCCTCGCCAGACCCCAGGGGACATTGGGGCTTGAGACCCCTGCTCTGCGTGGGGCACAGCAGAGGCCAAGGGAGACTGTGGCCCAGCTGTTCCACGGGCTTCTGGAGGCCAAGGACTCTCTCTTTTTGTTTTTATCTTTGTATATTACTCTGGTACATAAAGGCTGGCATATAAAAGTGTTGAATAAATAAATTTTCAATGAACAGCTGAATGAATGATGATGGTGATGAATGAATGAATGGATGGTGATGACTACCCAGAATTATAATCAAGTGGATGAGACTCAACCACTTGAAAAGGTGAGTCCACATTGCAGGCCAAGGAAGCAGAGGTGCAGAAGCTGGGGGCCCCTGAAGGAGTCCAGGGCACTTGGGGTGGAGTGGGGACCAGGGCAGCGTGGCTGCCCAGGGGTGGCAGGAAGGCCAGGCTGAGGGGCTGGAATTTGAGCTTCCTGGCTGCTTTACTATCCAGTCACCTGAGCTTTAAACACCCCAAGTCTGGGGCCACCCTCCAGGCCCAGGAAATCAGACTCTTCACCGGTGGGTGGGGCAATCTGTGCTTTAAAAATGTTGCCGGTTGGGCGCGGTGGCTCACGCCTGTAATCCCAGCACTTTGGGAGGCGGAGGCGGGCGGATCACGAGGTCAGGAGATGGAGACCAGCCTGGCCAACATGGTGAAACCCAGTCTCTACTAAAAATACAAAAATTAGCCGGACAGGGTGGCGCGCGCCTGTAATCCCAGCTGCTAGGGAGGCTGAGGCAGGAGAATCGCTTGAACCCGGGAGGCGGAGCTTGCAGTGAGCCGAGGTCGTGCCACTGCACTCCAGCCTGGCGACAGAGACAAACTCCGTCTCAAAAAAAACCAAAAAAGTTCTCCCAGGAGATTTTGGAGCCCCCAAAAGCTGCATGGCGGGGAAGTGATTATCTGCCACGGGTCTGCTGCTGCATCCATCCCTCTTCCTGTCCCGCCTCCCAGGGCCGGGTGTCTTTCTAAAGCCACGGGTCACCTTTCTGAGTGGTGGTCAGGCCCTGGGGGTCCATCTTAGCCACTCACCGTATTTTAAGTAAGTTTTAGAGGGAAGGAAAAGTATGAAATGACTGTGTTTGTTTTGCCCAAGCAAATCCATTTATAAAGTGCAGCACTTGTTTAAGAAAAAAACAACAGCTATTGACAAAATATAAGAAAATAAATTAAAGCCGCAGCTTCTTAAAAGGACCCTGTCCGATAATTTGATTTTTTCCCCCTTCTTCCCTCAAAGGCCAGAACGACACAATCAATCTTGCTGTTCCATAGGCTGTCTCATTACAGCTTTTTCTTAAGTGGAAAAAGAAAAAGAAAAAGAAAAAGAAAAAGAAAAAAAGTGGAAAGAAACTGAGTGCCATCTACAGCACCATCACCTCCTGCCCTACAGTAGATCCGCAGGGACCCTCTGTCTCCCCTGCCCCAGCCTTCTTGTCCTGCTGTAGCCCAGCTCTGACCCCCACCCTACCCCAGCTATGCCCTCCAGATGGGACCAATCAACTGGTCTTAGATGAGACTGGTCAGCTCAGAGGCCTTCCCGCCAAATCTCATGACCCATAGACTCTGTGGGGATCCTATCTTAAGTCGTCAAGTGGGTCAGTCATCAAATTTCTCATCCTGACAGCCTCATCCAAATAACTGACATTTTTCATGAGTAAAATACATAGCAGAACGCAGGTGTGCTGAGGGCTTTGCACACCCGGGTGAAACCCCTCTGCATGCAGCACTTTGCTTCCAACATAATGCAGATCTCAGGTGGAGGAGCTCCCACCACCTCCACCTCCTTATACGACCCTCTTCCTCAAATGTTGCCCTGCGTGGTTACCATCCATCCCGTCAGCCACACACACTGGGTGCCTGCCCAACATTGATGGCACTCTGATCATCCCCCACGATGAGGACAGGTAAGGTTTTTAGGGAATAAAACCAGTTTTAAAAGGCAGTCCCACCTGTGTTTAGATCCAAGGCCATAGCATGTCCTTGGCCAGATCACTGCCTCCCTGTGAGTTTCTCCATCCAGAGAGCGAGGTCAATAACACCCAGGGGTGGTTGTGAGGATTGAATGTGCAGCCATATGTAATCATCATCATCATACTTTATAATCGAGCACTTGCTCGTTGCCTGATCCTGAGTCATCATTCCTTTCTGACATTATCAGATTAAGTCTTCAGTTCATATTATTTGCCTTACTTTACAGGTGAGAAAACAGACATGCAGAGAGGTTAGGTTAATTGCCTTTGGTCTTATAACTAATAAGAGGGAAGGGTTTTTTATTGTGGGGGGTTTTCTAGAACCTGTGCCCCCCTTGCTTGTTAGTCCCCGTTTCCCTCTGGAAAGTTCCCCACCAAGTGTGGTCTTTGAGGAGAGCAGTGATGGTGCTACCTCTCACAGTGGAAGCTCTAGGGCAGCTTGTCCCAGGCTGTGGGGCCAGAAGTAAACTCAGCTGAGACCCTCAACCAGTCTTCAGTCCTTGGTGCTCTCAGATTTGGTCCCCCAGCCTCCGTGGATTCAGATAACCCCAAATTTACCTTCCCTTTTTGCTTAATATGGGCAGAGTCTCTCTGTAGCTTGCAACCCCAGGACTCTGCTTGCAACAAAATGAGTAATAATAATAATATACCAAAAGTAGCTATTATTTCTTGAGCATTTATTATGTGCTAGGTCTTGAGATAAAGAGCTTTATAGATGTTACGGTGTCTCAACCTTGCTACCTCATACAATTGTCCCTGTTTTACAGGCAAGAAAACTGAGGATCATATACATTTGGATTCTTGCCTGGCATCACACAGCTGGATGGAGGGCCAGGGGCTCAAACCCTGAGCTGCCTGAGCATAAGTCTGTGAGCATAAAACTCTGTTGGTGTGCCTGACATAAGAGGCGCTTACTCGGTGATGGCTTTAGCACCATGTATGCATGCACTGGGTCTGTTAAAAATTAGTGGGGAGGTTCTAGTTGGAGGTAAGATGAAGTAGACACACTCCACCTTGTCTCTCCCACAAAATGCAGCTTCAAACCTGGACTAATTGCATGAATTACCTCCTTTAAGTCTCTGAAAAAAAGACCAGTTATCAAAGTAACACCAAATTGGTGGTAAGTTTACTATTTTTCCCCCATCCAATATCCCCTGAATTGAAACCCCTGAATTCAATGCAGCCAAAAACCTTGAAGTGGATATCAGCATCTATAGAGAGATCTCCAGGGAAAACCCTCTGATTCTGGCTTCGGGACCAAGAAAGGGGTCTTCCACTGCTCCCGGTGAGTGAAGAAGCCTCCTATTTTTTTTTCTTTTTCTCTTTTTCTATTCTCTCCTGCCACAGCCCCTAAGCAATGATGTGGCAGTAGCACTAGCAACAGTAGCAACAGCAGCAGCGAAAGCTGGCGGGAACCTAAAACTCTAAGGAAGGGGAATTTTCCTCTCCAGTTGGAGGAGCCGTGGTCCATGAAGGTGGGGCAAACCCCTGCTGCTTTGCTATCTCTGGTGCTTGGGCTCAACTCATACAGTCACAGGAAATGCATGGCAGAGGAGAAATAAAGCCCCAGATTTCTGGCCCAAGCACTGGACAAGGGGAACCTCAGTGAACCAGAAAGTATAGGAGAGATCTCAGAGAGAGAAGAGCTGGAAAAAGTGATCCCTTAAAGTTGTTTGTGAAATCCTGGGCTCCTTCCCAAAATGTGCATGATCTGTACAGGATTAGACCTTAAACTGCATACTTGAGAACTGAACTACGGGATAGTGCACTGCTCAAATCCCAGATTAGCCATGGGGTGGTACATACGGGGCAGATTCAAATAGTGAAATAGCAAAAAAATAAAATAAGTAATAAAAAAATGAATAAATAGCAAAACTTTGTAAATTGAACTGACATTGGAACCACAGGCCACAGGAGGCTGTTGGGAACTTATGACCTGAACTCACCTGGATCATTTGCCTGCTAACAGAAAAATACCAAAAATTTCTCTATATAGAAAGAACCAGGAGTGGCTGGGCACAGTGGCTCATACCTGTAATCTCAGCACTTTGGGAGGCCAAGGTGGGTGGATCACCTGAGGTCAGGGGTTTGAGACAAGCCTGGCCAACATGGTGAAACCCCATCTCTACTAAAAATACAAAAATCAGCTGGGTGTGGTGGCGTGTGCCTATAATTCCAGTGACTCAGGCAATTCCAGCTATTCAGGAGGCTGAGACGGAGAATCGCTTGAACTAGGGATGTGGAGGTTGCAGTGAGCTGAGATTGTGCCACTGCACTCCAACCTGGGTGACAGAGCAAGTCTCCATCTCAAAAAGAAAAAAAAAAGAACCAGGAAAGGCTCAACTCACTCAGGAAAAGATGCCAATGCTGAGGCTACTTTGCTGAGATATCAGACTTTACAGCATCTATTATGAAAGTGGTGCAATGTGTAAGAGCAAACACTCTTGAAATGAATGGAAAGTCTCAGCCAAGAAACAAGATACCAAGAAGAACCAAGTGGAAATTTAGAACTGCAAAAGACAATAACAAGAATCTCCCTGGATGGGCTCAATAGCAAAATGGAGATGATAGAGGAAGAATCCAGTGAACTTGAAGATAGATCAATAGAAGTCATCCAATTTGAATGACAGGCAAAAAAGAGTGTTTAAAAAATGAGCAGAACTTCAGGGACCCATGAGGAAACACCAAAAGTTCTAACATTCTTATCATTTGAATTCTGGAAGGAGAGAAGAAATAAATAGGGTCTGGAAAAAATATGTAAAGAAATCATGGTGAAAATTTTCCAACTTTGGTGAAAAACATAAACCTACAGATGTAATAAGCTCAGTGAATCCTAAACAGAAGAAACCCAAAGAAATCTGTGACCAGAAAATCATAATCAAACTTCTGACAATGAAAAATGAAGACAAAATCTTGAAAGCAAGCCCAAAAAAATGACACATTTCCTATAGGGGAAAAATGATTCAAATGACTCTGGATTTCTCATCAGAAACCATGAAGGCCAGCAAAAGTGGAACGACAGTTTTAAGGTGCTTAAACAAAACAAAACAAAATAAGAAAAGAACTGTCAAATCATAAGTCTTTAGAAGAAATACCTTCTGGATGAAGGTAAAATAAAGACATTTTCAGATGAAGGAATGCTAGGAGGATTTGTTACTGGGAGACTTGCACTAAAAGACTGCTACAACAAATTCTTTAGACAGAAAGAGATCATAGTAGAAGGAAATGTGTAACATCAGGAATAAATGGAGAGCAGAGGAAATGGTAAATATTTGGATAAATATAATAGGCTATTTTTTCTCTTGTTGAGCTCTTTAAAATATGTCTGACGGTTAAAACAAACAAACAAAAAAACATTGTGTGGTAGGGTTTTCAGTGGCTGTAGATGTAATATAGAAGACAAATATAACATAAAAGGGAGAGGATAAAGGGACCTACACAGCAGTAAGTTCTTTACACTTCACATGAAGTAGACTGAGAAGAGTTAAGTATGTCTATTGCATTTTCTAGAACAACCTCTAAAAAAACTATTCAAAGAGATATAGTAAAAAGTTAAATAAATAAATTAAAATCAAATACATTCATAGGAAAACAAATAACTTAAGCCTTACATTTTACACAAAAATTAACTCTATTTTTTCTTTTTTGAGGAAGGGTCTCATCCTGTCTCCTAGGCTGGAGTGCAGTGGTCAATCACAGCTCACTGCAGCCTTGACCTCCTGGGCTCAGATGATGCTCCTACCTCAGCCTCCTGAGTAGCTGGGACCATAGGTGTGCTCCACCATGCCTGGCTATTTTTTTTTTTTTTTTTTTTTGAGATGGAGTTTTGCTCTGTCACCCAGGTTGGAGTGCAGTGGCGCGATCTCGGCTCATTGCAAGTTCCACCTCCCGGGTTCACGCCATTCTCCTGCCTCAGCCTCCTGAGTAGCTGGGACTACAGGCGCCTGCCACCATGCCCAGCAAATTTTTTTTGTGTGTTTTTAGTAGAGACAGGGTTTCACTGTGTTAGCCAGGATGATCTCGATCTCTTGACCTCATGATCCACCCGCCTCGGCCTCCCAAAGTGCTGAGATTACAGGTGTGAGCCACCACGCCCAGCCATGCCTGGCTAATTTTTTATTTGTAGAGAAGGGGTCTCACCATGTTGCCCATGCTGGTTGGTCTCAGACTCCCTGGCTTAAGTGATCCTCCTGCCTTGGCCTCCCAAAGTGCTAGGATTACAGGTGTGAGCCACCATGCCAGACCTCAAAAATGGACTCTAAATAGATTATAGATAAAACTTTTGAATGGAAACATAGAAGGTCATCTTTATGACCTGTGATTAGACAAAGAGTTTGTAGGCATGCTATTAAAAACAGTCTATAAAAGGATAAATCGAGTTTCATCAAAATTAAAACTTTTGCTTTGAGAAAGAGACTGTTAAGAGAATAAAAAGACAAGCTATGGACTTGGAGAAAATATTTACAAACCACATATCCAACAAGAGATTTGTATTCAGAGCATATAAAGAACTGTCAAAACTTAACAGCAATGTCACGGAATCTTTGGGGTGTCACTTTCTGGCCTGAAACCTCTGGCGGTGGTGCCTTTGCCCAAGTTTTGCTCAGGCCCACTGGCTTGTTCCACCCACTCGGCCTGGCAGGCTGCACTCGGCTCACACTACCAGCCTGGATCCCACATCTGCCAAGGACGAGTCAGGCGTGGAGCGGTGAGGGGTGTGTGAGCAAGTGTGGGGTCCCGCCTCTGTGCAGTCAGACACACCTGCAGTGGGGAGGGCAGCACAGGTGCCGGCTCTCTGTGAGGCTGTGGCTGGACCAGGTGCATTGCAGGTAGCTTCCCCGGCTGGCACTGGGAAATGCAGTGGCACCCAGAAGCTTGGAGATTCCAGGCACTGCAGGACCCCAAAGAGGGAGTCACAGCCCTAGCTCAGAGAGGCCTCCCAGGTCTGGGCTCCCTAAAGGGCTGCAGGTCTTCTCTCCTCTTCGCCTGCAATGTGGTGAGCAAGGGCCGTGTTTCAGCCCTGTTCATGTTATAGCTCTTTTAGCTCCACCATTTGGCGGTCCCGAGTTCTTCTCCTGCAGCCAGAAAGAATGAGGTATGCAAACAAGTGCAGGGTGAGCAAGATGAAGAAGAGCTTACTGAGCAACAGAACAACTCACAGGAGACCTACAGGGGGTAGCTCCTTTCTGCAGCCAGGGTGTCCCAATGAGTGTTCAGCTCCTAGCAGAGAGGAGACCCTGGAGTGTGAAGCTCCTCTCTGCTGCTAGTCATCCCACTGTCTGCTCAGCTCTGGCTGAGCCCAGGGCTTTTATGGGCCTCAGAGGCGGGGACGTGCATGCTGATTGGTCCACGGGCGGCCATGGGCAGACCCAGAAAAGACACTTGGGTCAGTGGGACTGGAAGCCTGGCCCCCAGCTTTCAGGCTCTCCCTGGCCTGAAGATGGAGCCTCACTGGGGACTGCCGCCTTCTGCCCAGGAATTTGTCTGCCTCCTGCTGCAGTTCATGGCACTGGGCTCAGCCCTGATAGCAAGGAGAAGCCAGGCAAGGGGAGCAGGCACTTCCAAGCCTGCAAGGGCAGGGGGACTTCCCAAGCCTCCAAGAGTGCAGGGATGCCTGAGCCTGCAGCAGCAGTTTGGGGGTGGGGGGTGGGGGCAGGGCTCCTGTCTGCTCCTGGAGTGGGAAGCCCAGGTCTGCAGCCTTGGTTTGGGCGGTTGCAGCTGCACCCAGGAGGGCAGGGTTCCTGTCTGTTCCTGGCCCCACAAGAGCACAGGGAGACTCGGATCCGCAGCCAGGACTTGGGTGGCTGCAATGTCACCTGGGGAGCTCCTACCCCAGCTTGGAAAGGGTGGGACTCCTGTCTGTCCCCACCTGTGCAGCCCTGGCTGTGACTCCCTGCTGCAGCCGGCATGATGGAGCCACTGCTGCCATCAGTAAGAAAACAAAAAACCCATTTAAAAACTGGACAAAAGATCTGAACAGATACTTTACAAAAGAGGATATAAAGATGTCCAATAAGCATATGAAAAGATGTTCAACATCATTATCCATTAGGGCAATAGGTACAACTACACATCCACTAGAATGAATAAAATAAAAGTTCTGACAATACCAAGTGGAATGCTCACACATTGCTGATGAGAACTCAAAATGGCACCACCCGTCTGGAAATTGATTTATCAATTGTTTATAAAGTTAAATATATGCTTACCATGTGACCCAGCAATTCCACTCCTGGGGATTTACTCTACAGAAATGAAAACTTATGTTCCCATGAAAACTGACCCATGGCTGGACATGGGAGCTCACGCCTGTAATCCCAGCACTTTGGGAGGATGAGGCAGGAGGATCACTTGAGTCCAGGAGTTCGAGACCAGCCTGGGCAACATAAGGAGACCCTGTCTCAACAACAACAACAACAAAAATAGCAGGGCATGGTGGTGCACGCCTGTAGTCCCAGTTACTTGGGAGGCCAAAGCAGGAGGATTGCTGCAGCCCAGGAGTTCAAGGCTGCAGTGGGCTATGATTACATCACTGCACTCCCGCCTGGGCGACTAAGTGGGATTCAGTCTCAAGAAATTAAATAAATAAACAAATAAATAAATTACTGTGAGGAAAAACATTATTGAAAACTTAGTCCCTGTTGGTCTCCAGTAAGTTGTGGGTGTACAAAGCGGAATCCGGTAAGGTCCACATTTGTGGGCATCTTCCAAACAAAGCCAGCAACAGCGTGACATAAGGGGGTAGGAGGAGGGTCAAGTTTCACCCTAATTGCCACCTTCTCAGAGAGGCCTTCCCTGACCCTCCCCACACAAAGTAGCATCCTTGTATGAGTTTCCTGTTGCTGCTGTAATAAACCACCCCAAGATTAGATGTTTAAAACAATGCACACTTATATCTTACGGTCCTGGGGGACACAAGTCCAACCTGGGTCCCATTGGACTAACATCAAGGTGTGGGCAGGGCTGTGTTCTTCCTGGAGGCTCGTAGGGGGAGTCTGTTTCCTTGCTTCTTCCAGCTGCCCGAGGTCACCTGTCCTCCCCCATCCTCATGGCCCCCTTTTCCCCCTTCAAGTTGGGCTGAGTCCCTCCTGCACTCTCACTCTCTGGTTCTCTTCCCTCTGTCTCCCTCTTCCATCTCTAAGGACTCTTGTGATTCTACTGGGCCTATCAGATAATTCAGGACAACGTCCCCAACTCAAGGTCAGCTCATGAGCCACCTGCAATGGCTTCTGACACTAACTGCCTGGAATTAGGCCAGACTCCACAGGCTAAGGGTACATTCCTCCGCAAGACTGCCCTCACTTCAGACACCAGCCACAGGAGCAAGGGGCCCCAGGCCACCCCCACTTCTCACCAGCTGCCTACACATTCAGGGGCTCTCACTGCACCCTCAGGTTTGATAATTTGTTAGAATGACTCAGAACTCAGGAAAGGGCTATACTTACGATGATAAACGGATACAATCAGAACCAACCCAAGAGACAGACCCACAGGGTGAGGTCTGGGAGAGTCCCAAACATGAAGTGTCCATCATGATCTCCCTGTGGAGTCAGGACGCATCCCCCTCTGAGACATCAACGTGTGACAAAACAGAGTATTGTCAGTCAGGGATGCACACCTGAGCTTTGGTGTTGAGTTTTTATTGGGGTTTCATTACATGGACACAATTGCTTGAATGGGCTGCATCATTGGCCGTGAAGCTGAACCCCATCTCCATCCCCCTCTCCTCCATGGAGGTCGGGCTGATATCATGTGTGGCTCACAGCCCCACCCTCTCATCACAGGGCTGGTCTTTCTGGCATGTCCAGCCCTGATCCTGAGCCACCTCCTTGGCATAAAGTAACAGCTATTGTCTGAGTGACTGCAAGTAACAAGACACCCATCACTCAGGAAATTCTAAGGATTTAGAGGCTACCTCCCAGGAACTGGGTACAAAGGCCAGCCAGATTCTTTATGATTCACAACCTTAAGTCCATCTTCACCTTTAACTCTCCTTGGAGTGTGACCTGACATAGTCACAGGTTCCAGGGATTAGACTGAGGACATCTTTGGGGGGCTATTATTCTGCCTGGCACAACCTCCCAGTGTCTAACACATCACCCTGCTTTGTTTTTATTACAATACTGGTGCCTTTGTAAAATGGTCTTATTTTGTTGTTTATTTGCTTATGGCCTGTCTCTTCCTCTGGAGTGTCAGCTATATAAGGGTACCTTGGAGCACCCTGAGCTGACCTAGGCACGTCATGTGTGCCAAATGACAGAGGGAGAAGAGAAAGAGTTGGAGGAGGCAACATTTGAGCTGGTCCTGGAAGGATGAGCGGAGTGCTGCAGGGTGAGCAGGGACTCTGGCCAGGAGCAACAGGTGAATAGAGCCAGAGGAGGGCTTAGGGACTGGGTGGGTCAGGGAGCACTGGGTGGATTGTTGTGGCCGGAGCACTGGGGTGTGTCGTGGGAAGGAGGCAGATGTTGGGAGCTGATCAAGACAGGCAGCTTAGACACAACTGCACGTGGCCAGGCGACAGACCTGAGGGCACCTGCGCTATCTGCTCTAGTGCCTTCTCTCTCTGACACAGGTGCCAGGAGGGAAGCACCAGGGTATGACAAATAGGGATGGACCCTGGAGTCAGCCAGCAGTTGTGTAGTTGTGACCATGGGCAAGTCACCTCACCCCCCCATGGCTGTCACTGAGGCTGGCCCACTTTCCTGTCCAACCCTCTTCTCTTTGCTTTCCTCTAAGGCGGAGCCTGGAGAGCTCAGTTTCCCAATCTCTCTTGCGGCAAGTGCCACCAATCTGGCCAATGAGCTGGAGAAAGAATCTTTGAGGGTGTTCTGGGAGTGGAAAGGGCCCAGTAAAAAGAGGGATAGACTCAGCTGGATCAGAATTTGGCCTTCTCCTCTGCTTCCGGCTTAGAAGGCCACATGATGTCAGGAGCAGCAGCAGCCACCTTGTGACCATGAGGGGCAAGCTAAGAGTAATGTCCTAAGGCTGGCAGGAAGATGGGAAGTTCCCTGGCCTGGAAGGATATCACTGAGCAACTGGGCCAGTGCCAGCAATCACCCACCTCTGGGTATTAGTTGGGCATTCTGTTACTCACAAACACAGCCCTGATTAATACACTCTCTAGGCCTCAGTTTCCTTTACTGTTCACTGGAGCTAATTATATTTATCAATATTCATTCCACTCATGTTGTGTACCAGGAAGTCCTCTAGGTGCTGGTGGCAGAGCAGTGAACAAGAGATAAGGTTCCCATTCCTTATCTATTTATTTATTTTTGAGACAGAGTCTCACTCTGTCACCCAGGCTGGAGTGCAGTGCTGCAATCTCGGCTCACTGCAATCTCTGCCTCCTGGGTTCAAGCAATCCTCCCACCTCAGCCTCCCAAGTAGGTGGGACTACAGGCATGCACCACCATGCCTGGCTAAAGTTGTTGTTTTGTTTTGTTTTGTTTTGGTAGTGACAGGGTTTCACCATGTTGGCTAGGCTGGTCTCGAACTCCTGAGCTCAAGTGATCTGCCTGCCTCAGCCTCGCAAAGTGGGGGGATTACAGGCGGTGAGCCACCGCGCCTGGCCCTCATTCTGTTTGCATTTACATCTCATTGCGTGAGAGAGACAATGAGCCCACAAACAGGAAGCCATCTGAGAGTGGACAAGGCTTCCTAAAAGTCTTAGGAAGAAAAAAAGGGAGGTGATGTGATAGAGACTGGTGTGCACATGGCACGGAGTCTCTGTGACTGGGCTGTGAGGAGGTGGCGCTGGAGCTGAGACCTGAGTGTGAAGAGGACAGGGATTGTGGGGAGGAAGGCCAGGGGGCCGGAGGGCAATGAGTGAGGGTGGAGGTGAGACCAGCAAGTTGGGCAGGGCCAGGTGACATGTCTTGGTAAGCACAGTGACATGTTTTGCATTATTCTAAATGCAAAAGGGAAGCCACTGGGGGCTTTCAGAAGGATATGGGACAAAGATTTGAGTATTAGGCACGCCCCAGGTGCTTAATAAATGTCTGCAGCCTGGGGTAGGGCGTATCCAGCCGGCCCTTCTCAGGCTCAGCTAGTCCCTCTCTTGTCCTGCCTACCTCACACCCCCAGCTCCTGAGCAGGGGACCCCTCGGGCTGCCTTTTCCATCTTCTTGGCCCTGCCTCATCCTCCCCTAGGGCTGTTTGCTCCCTCCAGAGCAGGCGACCATAATTGCTGCTTTCCACAATGACATAAAAATCTAAGAGGCACAATCAATACAGCGCACACACATCATCGTCTTTCATTGCAAACGATAAAAGTGTAAACAGCAGGGGTGGCGGCAGCTCTGGAGGCTGCAGTGGGGGCAGGGCGGGCTGCCACCACTTCCCTGACTGTCACCCTTCTTCTGGGACACAGGGCTCTTCCAGGTGCGAGCGGGAGTGCCTTCCCCACTCTGGGGAGTGGCACCCCTCATTAAAGCCCATTCAGGGAAGTGGTTTTTCCTGTTTTTGCTTCCAGATGCAGCAACCCCAGTTTCTTTAACCCGACTTCAGAAATCCAATTTGTCCTCTGTACTTTAAAAGCTTTTCCCTTGCTTCCCCTGCATCCAAAATACAGAGCTAGGGGTGGCTTCTGGTGGCAGAAGAACTTGTTGGGGTTTTGCCTGTCACAAGCCCATGAACTGACCTCGACCCCATTTTAACCCCAGCTCTTGACAGCCAACTTCTTTCGCCACCTGTCCAGCCTGCCACCCACAGCTTTTCTTGGAACGTGCACAGAAACCATTATATCCCCAGCTCCCACACACTCCCGGCGACGACTTCCTCAAACTAGTTACTTAATGAACGTCATCCAATTCCGATTCCGTCTTGCTGTAGTCTCATTTGCGAAAGCCAATCTGCTTTATGATTCTAACCTCTGGCTAGCAACTGCTCCCAATTTCATGTCATCCATAAACTTGATGAACGATTAGCTTGCTTCTCTGCAGTCATTCATTTATTTATTCAACCGGTATTTAGTGAGCGCCTACTGGATGCTGGGTGCTGGATACAGAGTTACAGGAGACGCAGGTCCTGGGCTGAAGAGACTCCTGTGGGGAGGCGGAGCCCACGTGAAAATGGTTCCCATTTATGTGATCTGTGCTCAACTGGGGCAGGGGAGAGAGCCAGCTCCTTCTTGGTGCGGGGGGCGGGGGGCAGTTTACATTTGCCTGAAGATGCTGGAGGGGATTTTGGCAGCTGGAGAAGGAATGACGTTCCAGTCAGAGAGACTAGAATGTACGTAGGCAAATTGCTCTGGGTGATGATGGGGAAGAAATCTGCTGGTATATACATGTCCAGGGCTGATGAGAGCTTCAGCTTGGAGCCGTCTAGAACCAGGAGGGCTCCTGTCTGTCTCTTGGCTCTGCTCGTTTCCACATTAGCTTCGTCCTGAGGCTCCATGTGGTAGTAAAAGGGTTATACCTTCCCAGGGTCAAATCCAGGAACAAAGAACGTCCCCTCCAGTCTCACTGGGTCTTACTGGGTCACATGTCCATCCCTGGTCGATCATGGTAGTTGGAGAAATTTAAGTTCTCTGGCCTGGCCTGAGCCACATGGCAGCCTTGGACCCTGGGGCGAGGTCTGCTACATCTGAAGCTCATGGATTGAAAGCGGGGACGGTGGGGACTCCCAGAGAGAAACTGGGTGCTGTTAGCACCGAGAAGGACGAACGGATGTGGGGCTGGAGAGACACAGATGATATCCACTCTGTGGTCACCAGCTGGCTCGTGCTCCCAGGTGGTGGAAGGGGAGCCATTGGTTCCTTTCTGTGCAATGGGTACAAGGACCGAGTCAGAGGATGAGGATGGGACATCTGAGACCGCCTCATCACCACGTTCTTCTAACTGTGTGAGGACCAGTTGAGAATTTCCTTTCTGCTTTGCCAGAGGCTGGATTGAAGCCAGCCAGCAAGTAATTTCCAGTCACTGTCCTTGTCCTCAGCCTTCCCATTCTTCAAGCTCTTTTCCTGTCCTTCTCAAAGCCAAAGCTCCAGCCTGTTCCAGAAACCCCGTGGGGGTCACCCCCAGCACCTTCTAGTTGAGCTGCGTCGGGGGCTCAGCCGAGCCAGGGCCGCCTGCCTTATTGGGCAGCTTGTTGACGAATCTGGAGCGGTAGCCACCCCTCCAACCACTATGGCCTTTCACGAGGACCCACAGAGCAGTGGGCTGGTGGGTGGGCCTGGGCCCTGGGGACAGACAGATCTAGGTTCTGGTCTACAGCGAACAGGATTAGGTTCAGCTAGGAGTGATAGAAGCCACTAGAAAGAAAAGAGCAGCACTGTAAACAAGATAGAAGTTATTTCTCTCTCAAACAATCAAGAGCCTGCAGGCAGGAGTTGGGACTAGAAGAGCCTTCTCCGGTCAGTCGAGGGCGACCTCCTTTGCAGGAGACCTCCTCCACTTTACCAGCCACGGTGGTTGCTTAGTTCCAGCTGCCAAGAGGAGAAAGGGACTGAGAAGGACATGTTCTCCCTTTGAGGACACTTCCCAGAACTGCACGCTACACTCATGCTTACAGCGTTATGGTCTGAATTTAGTCATGTGGCAGGGAGGCTGGAGAGAGTGCCGATTCTGGCAGCCATGAGCCAGAAGGGAGGGGAGGGCAGAGGGAGGGGAAAATAGACACTGGCAGTGAGGAATAACTGGCAGTCTATGCCCCAGACCCCTAAGTGTGCTCACAGCCATGATCACACCTGCTGCCCTGGGAGAAGGGAATTATATTCCCCCGTTTTACGGATGAGGAGGCTGAGGCAGACAGAGACAGAAAGCTTAGTCTCGCATGCTCTCTGTTCCCGTTCTTGCCTTCCTCTGCTAGCCCTCTTCTTGCTCCTGCCCTGGACCCAGAACATAGTTCTCAGTGGCCCTTGAGTTATCCTTTTGTTTTTTGAGACAAGGTCTTGCTGCGTTGCCCAGGCTAGAGTGCAGTGGCACGATCTTGGTTCACTGCAGCCTCAACCCCCTGGGCTCAAGCAATCCTCCTGACTTAGCCTCCCAAGTAGGTGGGACCACAGGTGTATGTCATCATGCCTGACTAATTTTCATATGTTTTGTAGAGATAGGGACTCCCTATCTCTACAAAAGAGAGATTGCCGGCTGGTCTTGAACTCCTGGGCTCAAGCAATCCTCCCACCTTGGCCTCCCTAAATGCTGGGATTACAGGCGTGTGCCACCATGCCCTGAGCATTAGAGTTATACAGTAAAGCTCAGTACTGAAGCAGGATGGGGCCAGCCCGGCAGGTAACCCGGGGCCCTCCTGAGAGAGCAAGAGCAAGCTCTCCCCTAGTCCCCCAGCAGGGGTCTGCGGGGTCTCTGGGTCTGTGGTGTCTGTTCCCCAGCAGAGGCAGGCAGCAAGGCCCCAAACCTGGTTTCCATACAAGGCTTACAACTCTTCCCCTAACTGTGCCCATTTGTGATTGATGCCAGTTTAGGATTCACCAAGGCTCTGTTCCTCGGTGCTCCTGAAAAATGTGGAAACCTTTCTATTTGTACAACCCATCTGTAAACTAGGGCTAAGCCACGTCCTTCAGCTCTCTCAAGGGTTTCTTGATGGATATTGAGTGAAAAATAATGTAGTTAATGTGTTCTGAGGAACTCAGGGAAAGCTGCTGCGAGCCCATGGTGCCACTAAATGATCATTGCCCTGGGCCCTGGGAGGGGCCATTCTGGGGGCTGGACTGGGGAAGGCAGGGTCGGGGTGGCAGTGGTGCTTCGATCTGGAATGACACTTGCTCACTTGTGGAGCAGGCAAAAGCTGGGAGGCCCCTAGTGATGCCCAGTCATGGGGAGCAAGGATGTTCCCTGGGCAGGTGGTGGGCGGGGACATGTGGCATTGTGGGGGACTCCAGAGGGAACAAGGAAGCAGGCATTAGCCTGAGGTTTGGAGGTCACCCCCAACCTGGAGGGGCCTGGGGAATGGCACTCACAGGCCAGGGACTGGTCCTCAGCAGAGAAAGGGCAGGTTTTCAAATGGAAGGTTCACCTGCAGAGAACACGGAGTTGCTCCAAGCACCAACGTCTCCCATTTAGATGACGGGGGGGAGCCCCAGGTGCCTCTGTAATCCACTCCTGCCCCTGCTCCACCCAGTCTCCACGCAGCAGGCTGAGCGATGCTCTGTGGTGCTGAGCAAACCTCCTCCTCCCCTCTCAACCCTGCCCAAGATTTCCCGTGCTCCTGAACCCACAGACTCTTTTTCATGCTCTGCAGGGGCCCACCAGGTCCAGCCTCAGCGTTTCTTTCTACCTCACTTCTTCCACCTTCTCCTGGCACACCTCCTTCCTACCACAATGCCTTCTATGTGTTCCTAAACCGACCATGCTCACTCCCACCACACAGCCTTTGCATTTGCCGTTCTCTCTGCCTGGAATCTTCTTCCCGCAGCTCTCTGCATGGCTGACCCTCCCTTGGAGAGATCCGCTCTTCCCTATCTGCCCTCTCTTCCTCTAAAACAAACTCTTCCCCATCACTGCCATCATCCGGTTGCATTTTCATCATTGTGTTTAAGACCATGTAAGAGGATATGATTTGATTCCTTGTCCATTGCCTATCCTCCCACATGGGCCCAGCCCAGGGCACAGCCTGCACACCTGTGTCCTTTTCTCGCTGCAGCACCTGGAACACAGCAGGTGCTCAGTCATGCATTGGAAGGAGGCAGCCTTAGTTTGCATCCCCCTGGAAGCGAACCCTGAGACAAGGTTTCCCATACAAGTAGTTAATTTGGGAGGTGGTAGGGGAATGGGAAAGGGAAAGGAGCAGCCAGGAGAGGGAGCGCTCTCAGTGAGTTCCAACTGTGGGCAACCACAGCTCCATCCTGCAGGGCTGGGCTCAGTGTGGACAGCGTGCCTGAGAGTACCCCACACAAGGGGAGGGTTATGGGCACCTAGACACCAGCTCCTATCAGTTACTGGCTGATGGCCTCTCTCGGGGGGCCCTATTTTCCAGCACTCTGGCCCGTGGCAACATGGGCAGAGTGGCATCCAGATGGCAGAGAAAGGTCTCGGGCAAAGAAATGTGGTCGCAGGCGCTGGTGGCTGGAGGTTGGGCTGGCATACACTGCAGTGGGCACCTACATTGCCTGCTATGGGGGAAGGCACCAAAATGGGCAGAAGATGGGGCCTGGGCATCAGGCACAACCCAAACACAGTTACCCACACTTGGGTCCAAGATCAGGGCCTGACTCAGTGGGTGATGATGCGCAGCCTTTGCTTGCCCTGGGCTGAGATGCCTTAGGCGCAGGTAACCAATACAACTCAACCAATACAGCTCAGGAGAGGATGAGAGAGGCCCAGCACAGCAGCCTTGGGAGGGAAGCTGTGGGTTGGACAAGGCAGGGCCTGACAGAGGCAGTCTTGAAAGGAGTGGCTTAGCTTTTGATCTGCAAAGAGACCTGAGCCCTGGCAGATGGTTTTCTGGCCTCCTCAGGTTTCCAGCTCTCCCAGCTGCCTCCGGAGGCAAGTCTGGGGCAGGAGGAGTTTGGAGAAGCTGGCTGGGGGGAGACCTCTGCTCCTCGGCTGCAGGTTTGCATTCTCTTTGGCAGCTAATTACTTAGGATGAATGATTCTGACTCAGATGGAAGCCCCCTCCTCCAGCACCCCTCCCTCCAGCTGGGACAGAACAGGTGGTGGAGGGAGCAGAGGGCTCCGGCGTCACCGGCACTGCTGCTTGCCGGGCCATTTATCACTGGGGGTGTTTATACCCCACCTGGGGCCAGAGCCCGAGCAGAACAGGTGGTGCGTTGAGGAAGGGAGTGAGGAGGTGATGGGAATGAACTCTTCTGGCACCAGCTCCAAGGGGCCCTGGGGCTTGCCGGAGGTGGCTGAAAAGATAGGAACTAAAGCATCAGAGGAAACAGAACAGGACCTACTGCAGGAGGTGTTTCAACTTTCCCTGCATTTGGAAGATTTTGCAGGTGAAGGAGATTAACTCAGATTAAGAAGATTGGCTTTTGGTGTTTTGCTTGGGGTGGGGCTGGGTAGAAAACAGCCTGGACTGGGAGCCTTTGCTGATGGCTGTGGTGTAAATACTCTCACCCTGGCTGACTCAAGCTACTAATTGTTGAACAACTAAAGCCATGAATCTTGAATATTTAACAGTTGGCTCCTAGAAGCTGGCAGGAGCCGGCCCAGGCCTGTGTGAAGCTGTTCAGGCAGAGCATCTAACATATTTATTCACTGGTTCGGTAAGACATCACAGGGCACCCTCTGCGTCTGGAGCCATGTTTTAGGGACACCAAGCAGACCCCATCCCAAGCCCACAGATGCGGGACGAGGTCATCTCAGGGTGCGATGGGGCTACTGTGGCAGCAGCTTTACAGGACGATGTGTGGGGGACGCGGCCTTGTGGCCTCTGTGCATCTGGACAGTGAGTTTATGGAGGAGATCTAAACCCGCCTCTGTCCTTATCAGGCAGTGCGGCCACCCTGTGCGCCCACAGTGAACACAGAAGAGTGAACACTTGGGTATTTTCTGGCTCGGCCGTTCTACTGGGTGTCACACATTCCTCCTTTATTCCTTCCCTGCTGTCTCCCGCTGCCTCAGCACTCGGCCTGGGTACCTTCCATGGGCATTGCCAAGACCCAAGGCCTCCCTGGAGACCAGTTCTGTCTGATTTCTGGAGGCCATGTGACAGTGGAGCATGGCTCAGTGGGAACAGGCAGCCCACGGGCCACATTTTCCCCACAGGCAAACCCTTCCCTCCTTCACTGTGTACCTGGGCAGTCCCGGATCCCAGGAACCGCCAGTGGCGGGGAGGGCTTCATGCCCAGGGTGGAATCTTACCTGGCCCTCTTCCTGCCTGGGGATCAGAGCTCAAACTCCTACGCTCTCTAAACCCTGGGGTTTAATTAAGAAAATATGGAGGTCCTCTGGGAGCCATAGAGGGCTCTGCAGGTATTTATTTATTTATTTATTTATTTATTTATTTATTTACTTGAGACGGAGTCTCACTCTGTTGCCCAGGCTGGAGTGCAGTGGTGCAATCTCTGCTCACTGCAACCTCCACCTCCCAGGTTCAAGCAATTCTCCTGCCTCAGCCTCTCATGTAGTTGGGATTACAAGCAGGCACAGGCCACTATGCCCAGCTAATTTTTTCATTTTTTTGTTTGTTTGTTTCAGTAGACACAGGGTTTCGCCATGCTGGCCAGGCTGGTATCGAACTCCTGACTTCAGGTGATCCACCTGCCTTGGCCTCCCAAAGTGCTGGGATTACAGGCGTGAGCCACCACACCTGGCCTCTGCAGGTATTTTAAACACCAGGGTTGACCTTATCTTGTTGGTCCGGCTGATCTATCCACTTCCCAAGTTTCCACCCAGGAAGGGGCCTGGGTGGCCCATGCCCTCGTCACCTCTGGGCAGAGTGGGTGTGGCACCGGCGCCAGCTGCGCTCCACCACACATACATGGCTTCATGCTATTTTCTCTTGCACCTGAATCTTTAAATCATCCGTGTCTCTGGGCGAGCCGAGGCTGCGGCGGGAGCTGTTAATAATAGACACAAGCGACTGTCTGGTTACGAATTGCGGAGACGGTAATTAGCATTTTAATTTAGGCGTTTTCTTCACACTCACTTCTGGAGACCTGGATTCGAATCTGAAATTGGGGTCACCAGTGGAGGTTTGCCTGTGTTCTCCTAATCCTCCCACGGGTGTTTGTCTTTGTCACACAAGTACCCACAGCCCAGGGCTGAGTGTGGCCTGATGGGGGCACTGTCTGTCCAGGCTGCGGAGCGAGGATTTGTAGGGGAGAGGGGAGTGGAGCTGCGCTGGGGTGGGGGTGGGGGTGCTGTGCAGAGGCGCCAGGGGTGGGCGGTTGGATGGAGGAGGAAGGAGTGCTGAGCGGCTTTGGAGGGAGCAGAAAGGGGACTTCACAGAGCGAGAGGAGGAGCCGGCAGGCTGTGCGCCCCTATCCAGGGCTGTCAATCTTCCCCTTTCACAAGCACTAATTTTCTTGATTTTTCTGCAAGCCCAGATCTACTGCTGAACTACCCCAGCAGCCGGTGGTGTTTGGAGCATTAGGAATAAATGACTTAATGGACTTGCCTTTTCTCTTTCTCTCTTTCATGAAACAAGATTTAAAAACAGCAATCACAACAAAGAAAGTTGTCTCTTATCTCAGTGTCTAAGGGATGGGAGTAAGGCTTTGGGGTCCAGAGAGAGTCAAGCTCATCCCTGTTTATAGTGTATGTGTTGTGGGGAACACACTCCATATCCCCTTTTCCAGATCCCCCCATATTCGGTGAGTGGGCAGATGTAGGCAGCTCCTTCTGAGACAAATACCAATGGATCAAGCCCTGCCATCCCAGCCCCACTTCTGACATTCATGGTTGCCCAAAGATAGCCACACGCATTGAAAAATGACCTACATTCTCCCACTCCGTGCAAACGGATCTTTGCTCTATGAGGCAGGAGTTCCAGACTCCCTGGCCCTTGGGGCCAGCCAGCGACTCCAGGCTGCATCCAGAGGTGAGCAGGTCTCGATGAAGGGGGGTGATTGTTTGGCTCGACGAAGCCCATGGCGGGTGCAGCAAAGTGTGGGGGACTGGCTGGCTCTGAGCCCTCTTGGTGGAGCTGATCAAATCTCGCAATGGGCCCCTCTCGGGCCTACATTCACGGCTGGTGCGGAGCTGTGTAAGGAGGTGAAAAGGCTGGGAAGCCTTCTTTCTCTCTTGTCTTCTCTCTGATGTCATCGCTATCACTCAGGAATCTCTGGGGTACAAATGATGGAGGATGAAACTCAAACTGGCCTAAACCAAAAAGGGAATGTATTTGCTCCTACAAGTGAAAAGTCAAGCGGTAGTCAGGTTTCAGGTAAAGGTTGATCCAGCTAAATCCCATCACCCCAGGACCCGAGTTTTTTCTGAATCTCTGCACTGTTTTCCACAGCTCCATCCCCAGGCTGGTTACCCTCAGAGGCAGAGGTCGGTTGCCAAAAAGCCCCTTGGACTCTGTGTTTCTTTGTTATTTCTGGTGAGGAAGGGAGGGGGTTTCTGGATTTATTTTGGGGATTCAGTGTCCTTCGTTGATTTACGTCAAAGGCTTATCTTTGAGTCAATGACTGTGGCTATGGAATAGGGTGTCAGGCTGTCTTGAGCCTGCTGGGCCCACCCTATAGCTGGGAATGGAGTCAGTGGAGATGCATCTCCTCCAAAGGCGGGAAGATGAATCCCCTCAAAGGCAAACGGACTTGAAGGCAATGACCAGCTGACACTCACTCCATCCTGTTTGTAAGCACTGCCTCCCTGTAATGGACTCACAGTGCTGCACCCTTTGCCAGGTCACTTTTGTTGTTGTTGTTATTTTGCTGTTTATTTAATGTAACGCCACGTGACTTTGCAGTGACTTCCATTCAAATGGACTGAGGACACATCCTCACCCCAGCGATGTCGGGCTTGGTCCCATAACTCACTTTGGCCAACGGAATGTTAGCAGATGTGATGCGAGCAGAGGCTTTCAAGCTGTGTGTGTGGGTTTTACTTTTTGCTTTTTGTTTTTGCTTTTGTTGTTATTGTTGTTGTTTTTTGAGACGGAGTCTTGCTCTGTTGCCCAGGCTGGAATACAGTGGCATGATCTCAGCTCGCTGCAATCTCTGCCTCCCGGGTTCAAGCGATTCTCCTGCCTCAGCCTCCCAAGTAACTGGGATTACAGGTGCCAACCACCACGCCCAGCTAATTTTTGTATTTTTGGTAGCAACGGGGTTTCGCCATGTTGGACAGGCTGGTCTCAAACATCTGACCTCAGGTGATCCACCCGCCTTGGCCTCCCAAAGTGCTGGGATTATAGGCATGAGCCACCACGCCCGGCCTGTGTGTGTGGTTTTGAGGGGCTCCTTGCATTCTTCCAGCCACCGTGAGAAGAGCACCCTCTGGGTAGCTTCTGGTCCTGGAATGTGACATGTGAAGCAGAGCTGAGCCTGACCTGTGGCCTGAAGCCTATGGACAAAAAAAAGAAATGATTGTGGATTTCAGTCACTGAGATTCTTGGAGTAGGTTGTGACACAGCTTTATTGCAGTGACGGGTAACTAATGCAAACACAGAGAGGTGCTAGGTTATTTAGAGCTTTGACATTCTGGACGTTGGTGGCAGGGTGGTCGGGGGGCAGCATCAGAGAGAAAATTGGAGGATTTCCCAGAAAAGCCCCGCTTGCCCTCTGGAATGAAGAGAGATGTCTGGCTTCCCTCTGTCAGATGTCTCATGCCTTTTCTTGCCAAGGGCCTGGGAGAAAGAGGTTTCTTTTTGGGGGAAGACGCCAGAACATGGCCTAAAAGAACAATAGGCACCCTCTCTCCACCAGCCAATCCCATCCCACCCCACCCCCTGCTGCCTGTTCCCCGGTGATGGCTGAAGGCACAGCCAGGAGACAGGGACAGCAAGAGCCCAGGAGAGGCCTGGGGAGTGCGTCCTCGCAGCAAGCTGAGGGGCCACCTCCAGACCGGGCTGCGTTTGGCCCTCGCAGAGCTGCTCGGCTCTAAGCCACTGCATGCAGTTGGCAGATTCCTAGAAAACTGCATTTGAATTAAAGTTTTATAATTTAATCTCCATTTGAAATGCCTTGGAGAGAATCTGTTTGGAGGGTGAGGAAGAAAGGATACTTCGCAGCAGTAAATACCGACTCTCTCATTCATCTGATTCCTAGCGGTGGACTCGCCTGCGCCGTGGCGGCCCTGTTCATGGACACGTTCACAGGCATGTTCAACATCCCTAGAGTGGCGAGAAGAGTTATTCCACATTTCCAGTGAGGAGGCCCAGGCTCAGAGAAGGGCCCTGCCCATGTGAGTAGCAGAGTGGGACCCCGCCTGGCCCCGACCCTAGACAGGGGGTGTACGTCCCCTCCCGGCTGTGGTCCAAAGGCATCTTGCCGCCCAGCCGGGGCCACTTGCTCTGGTCAGGTTGCTGGACTTCCTCAGTGTCCTCCCCAGGCCCTGGGCATGGTGGGGTTTGGGGAAAGGAAGTGTTGCCTTTCCTTAAACCCTGGAATTTAAGAGTGGCCGGGCTGGAGGGTCTGTTCCGGCCCTCAGTGTCCAGGGCCCACAAACTTGGACTCTGGGCAAGTGTGCAGATCCAAACTCTACCACTTGGGTGAATAACTTTATTCCTGACGCCCTTCGTTTCCCAGTGTGAAATAACAAAGGCACCTATGTAATTATATGGTTTGGCTGTGTCCCCACCAAATCTCAACTTTAATTGTATCTCCCCGAATTCCCATGGGTCGTGGGAGGGACCCAAGGGGAGGTAATTGAGTCATGGGGCCAGTCTTCCCCGTGCTATTCTGATGATAGTAAATAAGTCGCATGAGATCTGATGGGTTCATCGGGGCTTTCCGCCTTTGCTTCTTCCTCATTTTCTCTTTCTGCCGCCGTGTAAGAAGTGCCTTCCGCCTCCCGCCATGATGCTGAGGCCTCCCCAGCCACGTGGAACTGTAAGTCCGATTAAACCTCGTTTTGTTCCCAGTTTTGGGTATGTCTTTATCAGCAGCATGAAAATGGGCTAATATAGGAAACAAAGTGCCTGGCCTGCAGTAACCATTCAATCCGCAGGAATTACCAGGCTTGCTTGTGTTTAGAATTGCTGGGATGGCAGCGTGGTTAAGAGCTTGAATTCTGGATTTGGACTCCCTGGGTTCTAATGCTGGAATTACCTCATGTTAGGTGGGAATTTCCAAAAATTTCACGTAAACTCTCTGAGCCTTAGTTTCTTCATCTGTAAAGTGGGGTTGATACACCTCCCCTCTGGGGCCAGGTAAGGATTGAGTCCAGTAATTGGTATAAGCATCAATTCTGACATACATACAGTAAGTGCTCAATACATGCTTGCTGCATTGATTCTGAAATACATACAGTAAGTGCTCAATACATGCTTGCTGCATCGATTCTGAAATACATACAGTAAGTGCTCAATACATGCTTGCTGTCATGCTTCATCTCCCACTTCTGCGTTTACTGTCATACCTCTTCCATCACCCAACACCTGGATGGTGGATGCCTGGGTGACCTCACAGGACCTGTGGCCCCCAAGTGGGTGTTCCTGGCCACACAGATAGAAGCAGGCTGGGAATGAGAGAAGGTACGAGTGAAGGGACAGAGAAGAGTTGCAAGATAAAGTTGAGGGCAGGTGAGGGTGACCCGAAAGTCCTCCCCTGCCCATGGCTGAGGCTCTGCAATGATTGGTCAATACTTCATTGACTTGCGCCATCTCTTCATATCTCCACATCTCTAACTTTAAGGGGGGTCTTTGCTGCACAGCCGGGCGTTCCCATGGCAACCTCCTGGAGACACAAAACAGCCATGCCTCCCGAACAAGCAGCCTCCCTCCCCTGTGTTTCCTAGAGAAGCCACTCCGGTGGGGTCCGAGGAAAACTCAGCTCTCAGCACAGCCTCGGGCAGTTGCCCCTTTCCAACGTGCCTCGTCCTGGAGCCTGGCTGTGGAGGGTGGTAGTTTATGCACTTAACATACATTTATAGAGTGCCCGCGGTGTCCAGAGACACAGTGAGGGCTGCCTGGGGACCCAGCAATGGAGAAGACAGACAGAACCCTGCCCTCAGGGACTAGGTTACTAGTTGGCATCTCTTCAAGTAAAGGGAAAAGGAACATTAGGCGATTTGGGCCAGTGCTAAGCACTGTGAAGGGAACAAAACAGCCAGGGGGCTGCAGGAGATGAGGAGGGGGCAAGAAAGCCCTCTCTGGAGCCCTGAGTCCTGAATGTGGCAAGGAACCCGGCCATGTGAGACCCTGGGGGGCGAGTCTCCAGGCAGAGGGGACAGTGAATGCAAAGGTCTGGAGTGACTGAAGAACAGGCAGGGGCAGCAGGGGCTGGGGCGTGGCAGGTGAGGTGGGCAGGGGCTCCATCAAAGAGGACTTCAGAAGCTGGGGTCAGGAGAAGGGGTTTTACTTTAACTGTAGCGGGCAGCCATTTTGTGGGGCGGGAGGGGTGGTGCGGGGCGGTTAACCAGGGTAGCCAGGGACTGATACACATTTTTTGGAGATTCTTTGGATTGCTTTGGGGCAAGTCGGACTCATCTTCCTGGGTTCCCCTGCCTGGGATGCCCCATATTTGTTGAGCCAACTCCTTGTTTGGCTGAGAAATAGAACCCTTGCTTCCTGGAGCTGGTCTTGCTGATACCCTGTAGGCCTAGGATTGTCTTCACAGGAATGTAGGGGTCTTCTCACCCAATATCCCCAGCCTCCTTGCCGTGACTTTGATATTTCTGGCTGCTGATAGCAAAGGCCCCTCTCCCTGACCCAGTCAATCGTATTCCACCCCACCCCCAAAGCCACTGCAATTTCTCCCTGATGAATGGGCAGCTCTGGACCCATGAATCCTTCAGCCAGCCCAGGCCCGAGCGCTCAATCTCTCATAACTCTGAGTTAAGGATGTGGAGTGATATCCAAGACAGCTGGATAAAGGATGAAATAAGAGGACTGATAAGTGGGATTGATGGCTGTCCTTGCCCAGGATGGGCTGGGGGAAGGGCAGAGGAGGACCCAGGGTGAGTTATTGCCTCCTCCAGGGTGTCTGGGGCTCTGAGATCACTCCAGCCCACATGGCAGACAAACTTCCATCGATCCCTGGCCCCTTCAGGAGTCTCAGTTCCAAGGCCCTAGAGAGGATCCCTGCATTCTGGTGGCCTCAGAATTTAAATTCTTTTCTAGAGGCCGCAAGGTGCAGACTAGGAGGATGGAGTATTGGTGCTGGCCTAGGCCACTGCGGGGCGGGACGCCAGGAAATGGGAGCCTCGCCTTGAGTCTCATTTGAAGCAGACAGGATTCTTTTTTACACATGACAGAAAACTAAGCCAAACTTCCTAAGCCCAAAGGAACTTTACTGGCTCATGTAGCTGAGTAGTTCAGGGTAGATCCTCCTTCAGGTGTGGCCCGATCCAGGACTCCAACAATGTGGCCCAGTTCTTCCATTTATTGAATCTGCCCTGGTACAGGCTCCATTCTCAGCAGGCTCTCTTCTCATGGTTGCAAGATGGCTACCAGAAGCTTCCAAGGCCACTTTCTTATTTGTGTTCAGTGGGAATGTTTCCCAGGATTAAACGAAAGCCTCACAATGGAACCTCATTGGCCCTGATTATGCTGATGTTGGGCTATGCACTACTTCATTTATGCACACCTATCACTGTGCAATGGGAGTGTATTAGTCTGTTCTCCTGCTGCTAATAAAGACATACCCAAGACTGGGTAATTTATAAAGGAAAGAGTTTTAGTGGACTCACAGTTCAGCATGGCTGGGGGCTTCAGGAAACTTACAATCATGGTGGAAGGGGAAGCAAACACATCCTTCCTCACATGGCAGCAGAAAGGAAAAGTGCTGAGCAAAAAAGGGAAAAGCCCCTTATAAAATCATCGGATCTCATGAGAACTCACTCACTGTCAGGAGAACAGGGTGGGGGAAACCGCCTCCATGATTCAGTTATCTCCACCTGGACATGGGGATGGAAAATGCTATCAGCTAAGCTAACGTGGGCCCACCCTTGAAGCTGCATTTGGGGTCAATTTTACCAAAATCCATGACTAGGACATTTCAGATTCTATGAGGAAGGGGGAGGGGAGGAAATGGATGCTGGGGCAGCAACAAACACACATCCATACCACCTCTCAATTTCATTTCTTATCATTCCCTAATACACACTCTTGTCCCTCCCTAATCATTGATTCAGATCCTTCTCGGAAGCTCAAGCTCTAACTCTCCTAACGAAATCCTCTGAATCAGTCAGGAATCTTTGGTTGCAAGTAATAACAGAAACCCAATTAAAATTGGCATGAGCTGAAAGAGAATTGTCTGACATCAGTTTAAAGTCCAGAGATGGTGCTGCTGGACCGGGCCTGGGTGGTTCCCGGGATTCCAACAGTGTCATGGGTGCTTGGTCTCCATCTCTGGGCTCTTCTGGCTTCTATGTGACTTCATTCTCAGAAGGCCCTCCGCAAGGAGGAGAGGGATGGCCCCAGTAGTCCAGGTGCCCATCCTGCAGTTAGCAACCCCTGTGGAAAGAGAAACCTTTGCCCAGGGTTCTGCCAAGGCCCCAGGGTTGATGCTTACTCCACCCCTGACCAATCACCGTGGAGCGGTGGGGCCCACAGGGCTGAAAGGTCAGGTCTGGTCCCGATTGTACCCCTGACCCTGGTGGAGGGGGAGCCCCACCAGATCTGCAGGAACTAAGGGAGGAGGAGGGGAGACTTCTGATGCATGGATTCTGTTTCAAGAAAAGAAGTCCCATAAGCTGGGCAGAGAGAGACAACAGCCCCAGTGACCCTGTCCTCTCCGACTCTGCCAGCACCGTGTGCTTCCCTTGCTCTCCACAGATGCCTCTTCCTCCCTGTGTAGAGCTTGGGTGCGGGAATCATGCCCTCTTCTGTTCCTGTGGTCAGGAGGTGCTTAATAAGCCCTGCAGAACAACACAGAGCGTGGCTCGAAATTGGGTGTTGCAATCACAGCCACTGTGGATGGAGGAGCTACCTCTACCAGGTGCTTCATAAATACCGTTTTCAGGAATTACACTTGACAAGATAGAGGACAGGAACGGTGGCTCATGCCCGTAATCCCAGAACTTTGGGAGGCCGAGGCAGGAGGATCACTTGAGCCCAGGAGTTTGAGACGAGCCTGGGGAAGATAGCGAGACCCTGTCTCTACACAAAATACAAAAATTAGCTGGGTGTGGTGGTGCACACCTGTGGTCCCAGCTACTCAAGAGGCTGAAGTGGGAGGACTGCTTGAGCCAGGCAGGCGGAGATTGCAGCGAGCCGTAATGGCCCTACGGCACTCCAGCCTCGGGGACAGAGTGAGACCCTGTCTCAAAAAAAGAAAAAAAACCGAAAAAGCAAGATAGAGGTGAGAAAATGCAGGTCCAGAGATGGGAAGCAATTGCCCAGGTCACACAGCTGGTGAGCAATAGAGCTGGGATCCTCACTGTGTCTGGCTGATGCGTTCTATAACCCCTGGCTTCACCTCTCTGCCGGTACCCCCTCCCAGCCCTCCAAATGTGAGCTCCAGGGGCCTGCAAACAGCCTGAAAATATTAAGCTGCTTCTATTTGATTTGGTCTCTTTTCTGACTATTCCTTGGTACCAGAAGAAACCCCATGTAGGTGAGTAGTTGGGCTTGTTCCAGGGGGAAATGGACAGTGACTTTGCCACCTCTTCTGAGGCCTGGCTTCCTTGCAGGGGGTAATGGGCCCGCTGCTGTCAGGGTCTTTGCACTCGCCGTTCCTCTGCCAGGGATGCTCTTCCTGCAGGTCCCTCTGCTCCCTCTCATCATCCCTGTCTCAGCAAAAATGTCAGGTCCTCTGGGGCCTTGCCTAATAGCCCTCCGCCCCCGGAAGCATCACCCTACAGCATCCTCACTGTCATTTTCCCGTTTACTAGCTTCGTGTTATTATCTCATCCCACTAGGACGGGAAGTTCCAGGGAAGAGGGGACCTATCTTGTCTTATTCACAGACGGGGGATCCTCAGGGCCCAGAACAGTCCCCAGTGCATGTGGGTGCTCAAGAAAGACTTTGAAAATGGGAAGAGGGAACGAGTGGTCTCACAGAGCTCATGATGTGCTGTTTCTGATTTTTTTATTTTCTTTTCCTCCCTCCCTCCCTCCCTTCCCTCCCTCCCTCTCTCCCTCCCTCCTTCTTTCCTTCCTTCCTTCCTTCGTTTCTTTCTTTCTTCTTTCTTTTTCTTTCTTTCTTTCTTTCTCTTTCTTTCTTTCCTTCTTTTTCTTTCTTTTTTGAGACAGGGTCTCACTACATTGCCCAAGCTGGTCTCGAACTCCCAGGCTCAAGTGATCCTCCTGCCTTGGCCTCCCAAAGTGCTGGGATTACAGATGTGAGCCACCGCACCCAACCAGTTCCAAATTTCTGAGGTCTTCAAGCCCTCCTTGCATTTTGTGGCCTACCTGCTGGGAGGGAACGTCTGCTTGGCAGGCTGGCTTGTCTTTGCTCCCAGCCAGAGCTGCTGGAATAACAAGCAGGGCAGGAGCCTTTTCTCCAAGGGGGGCTGACCTGCCCTCTGAGGCAGTGCCCATGGGCTGGGCTTAAGAGCTGACTTGCAGGACAGTTGTCCCAATGGGGTCCCTGGGACTCGTGTCTGTCCCCTGGGGCTGCACGTCGCTTGAGTGCCCAGTGAGGTGGCTTGGGAGGGATTTAGCAGCGGCCACACTGCACTGCTCTGCGCCTCACCACTGCAGCAGGATGGAGCGGGGAGGGAGTGACAAGGGGCTCACGCCAGTCTCCAGTGGCCAGAGAGCTTGACAGGTGGTTCCAGGGCCTATCCAGTCTCTCCATAGGCACTGGGACAGTGACTGAGTCTCTCCTTACTTACTCCCAGGCTTCTGCCCCTCCAGCATCCTGACACCATGGCTTGCTTTTTCGGGGCTCTCCCAGCCTTTCCCTACGATCCTACCACCTTTGTCGCCTCCACACCCATTTCTTTGTTTCTAGGAAAATCGGAGTCTCTCCTCCATCCCTCTCCCACTCTCCTAGACTGGTGGAGAGAAGTGACCAGTGAACCCAGCTGGGCACTGGATGGAATGTGAAAACTCTTGAGACATAGGACAGGAGTTACAGCCGATCTCTGCCCTTTTCCCAGAAAGAAGGCGAAGGTGAAGTCCAAGGTTTCTACACCACAGCAGGCCAGGCCAGGAAGCAGGTGAGAGCAGTGGCGCCTCTGGAACGGCATCCAAATGTCTTTAGAAGGTCTGAGAAGCCCCTGCCAGCTGCCCCGGTGTCACCCACACTATTCCAGGCTGCAGCTCACTGGCCCCATCGCTCGGTTCTCCCTCACACAGGCCCTCTGCCTGGCACAGGACCGTGCCCAGCTGTGCCCTCTGTCCAGAACACTCCCCTGGGGCTTGTCAAGGCTCACCACTCCTTGTCATTCAGGTCCCAGCTCTTGCACCATTAAAGCGTCCATCAGATTCATCAGGAGGGCTTGGGACATCCAGATGGCTGGGCAGCAGAACAGCTCCTCAGCAGGCAGGTCCAGGTAGGGCCTGGGAATCTGCATTTCTAACAAGTTCTCAGGATTGCTTTGGGTTTTGTTAGTTTGCCATTTCCACTGCAGCAGATGAAACTCCACAAGGGCTGACCCCGAGTTGTTTTCATTCTGAGTATCCACAGCCTGGCACACAGTAGGCGCTCAATAAATACTGATTGGATAAATGAACAATTCGACACACCCTCCCATCGATTAGACAGGAGCTTTCCCCATGCTGGGACCTCAAGGGCTCCCTCACGCGTAGGACACCTCGGCATGATGTGTGGAGCTGCTGCGCGCTGGAAATTCCAGAGCTGAACAAATGCTGCCCCCTGTCCTTGGGCACACACCCCTCTAATGAGCCAAAGGAGGCTATTCTAAGGCAGCCGAATGCTGCATGTTCTCCAGTGTGTAACTGTGCTGCTGACACTTCCTTAGACAACCTGGGAAATGTAGGCAAAATTATTATTATCGTTGTTGTTGTTATCAATATTTATTATACGCATTGTGTAGGATGAGCCATTTCACGCCTGGTTTTTAATCAGTTTCTGTTCCCTGAAGACAGTCTGGTGAGTAACTCGTTAGAAAACTGTAGTGAGCTGGAGTCCTCCAACACACCTGTTGGAAGACCCAGTTCAGGACAGCTTCCAGGCCCTGAGCTGGGCAGTGGGGAGCCCTGGGGCCCTGGAGACAGAGGGCATCCACAGCTGTTTTGAAAGCTCACATCCAAACTTTAGAATGTGGAAAGATTGAACTCTTTTTTATTTTTGTATATATATATATATATATATTTTTTGTAGAGATGGGGTCTCACCATGTTGCCCAGGCTGATCTCAAACTCCTGGACTCAAGCAATCCTCTTGCCTCAGCCTCCCATGGTGGAGAGGACTGAACTCTTAAGATAATTCCCATAAGTAAGTGATGTCTGGTCCCTCACTGCTTTACAAATGCCCCTGCCCTCATTGCCTTCCTTAAAACCCATCACACAGGCCTGTCTATGGAGGCAGGACCAGAGAGGCAGGGCGCACAAGTGAGGGCGCTTGTGTGCCCTTTGAGCAGGGGATCTGGGGGACCAAGGGGTAAGGGAGCAGAAGAGGAGCCTGAAGCCACTGTGACTATCACCCGCCCCGGCAGGGCTCTGCGCCCCCCGACGCCCCGCTCCAGTTAGGAGTGGTGCATGCTCCACCCCCTGCTTCCAGCCAGCCTCCCACCCACCCCCATCCAGGGAGTGCTGGGGGATGGCCCCGGGTCTGGGGGGAGCTGCCACAAGAAAGACACATTTCCTGCCTAATGGAGGTGGTTGGGTTGGTAATGAGTGTTCCTGCTAATTTGGAGGAATGATTTAACACCAGGAGGAGCCCGGGAAAACATCTTCTGAATAGAAAGAGTGGAACGACCCCCACCAGGCGGCGGCTCCGAGTACCGTGTTACTTCTTGGGCCTTTGGATCTGTCTACACAGGGAGGGACTGAGAATCCCAGGAACTGCATCCCTAGGAAGGAAGTGGGAAGGCAGGTGCCAGCTCAGTGTCTGGAGCTAAAGAAGGGAGGAAAGCCCCTACACACAGGTTCTCCCACCCCTCAGTGAGGCATTGGGTGCAGGGCCCAGTAGAGAGGCGGGAGAGCTGCTTGTGGACCGTGGTCGGCCACCTCGCCAGCTGGACACCTCTGGGCCTCACTGTCTTCCCAGCTGCAGGGATTAAAGGGGACAGCGAGGGGTGGGGCAAGCCCTGCACATGTTTGTCTGTCCATTCAACATTGTTTTTGAAGCACTTACTATGTGCCAGATGTTCCTCTGTGCCCTGGGGCTCTGGTGGGCATGTCCTTGGAGGTCCCTGCTCATGTTCCAGTGGAGAAGGAAGAGGACGATGGACAGGCCAGCAGATAAATGAATGAGAAAGACAGCATGTGGTCTGCACCAGTGGCAGCACAGCCGATGGAGCAGGGACCTGGGGCAGGAGAGGGAGGTGGGGAGCTGAGGCCTGGGCTGCTGAGGATATGGGAGGGCAGGCCAGCCGGGGAACAGCAGGAGCAAAGGCCAGGAATGGGGGCCAGCCTCAGAGGTTTGGGGGAAGTGACGGAAGCAGATGGAGCGAGGGAGTGGGGGGAAGCGTGTGGCCCTGGAAAAGAGTCTGGATTTCCTTCCACTGCAGCCAGAAAGTCACTGGAAGCTTCAGCACGGGAGTTCCGTGATCTGATTTACATTAGAAAACAGAACCCGAGATGCTCTCGTGTGGAATGGAGAGACTGGGGAGGAGGTGACAGAAAATTTAGGAGGCTGTAGTGAGAGAGGAGGGGGTTTGGACCAGGGGGGCCGGTGAGAGAAGTAGCTGGGCCTGGGACAGGTCTGGGGTGGAGCCTGCCGCCTCTGCTAATGGGTGCCTGTGGGAGGCCCTTTAGAGAAGAGCAGGAGGAGGTCTGATCCAGAGCCTGAGCCAGCCCTGGAGACGGGAAGGCCATGGGAGGGAGAGCAGGGAGCTCTGCTGGACTCTGGATTCCGGGAGGGACCTGGGAACCTGAATTTTTAATGAGCTGACCCCCAAGGGATTCGGGTGACGCCTCTGCTCTCAAATTTCAACTCTGGACTTGGAATTCTATATGTGTAAAAAACGTAGCCTGGGGGTTCCGGTTGCCAAGTAAGGGGTGGAATATAAAAATTTAAACATAGAAAACACTTGTCATTTCACTCATTGTGACTCTCCTCCCATGAAACAGCAAAGAGAAGACTCCGGAGTCCCCTCTCACAGCAAGGAGGTGGGTGTGCTTTCCCGGGGGTCCTCCCCTCCCGCAAGGGCCTCTTCTCTTTCACACTCTGAGATTCCAAGGGTAGCAGCCCTCTCTGAGGTGCCTACAGCCTGCATGTGGGTGGAGGAACTGGCAGGTGAAGCCAACACCCCCAAACTACCAATGATTCCAAGGGTCTGATGTAAGAACTCAGCCGCCCCTGGAGACGACTCAGTAGTCAGGGTGAGCTGAAAGTGGCAGCTTCCCCTCCAGAGCATACCTCTTCTCACACACAAGCCTGGGAGGTTGGCCGTCTAGGGCTCATGGACCACTGTGTGCATCAGAGACCCAGGCTCCTTCTGTTTATCTGTTGCCCCTTCCTAGCATGTGGCCTCTATCCTAAGGTCTCCTCATGGCCCAGAAAGACTGCTGGGCTTCCAGTCATGATGTCAGGCTGGAAGGGGAAAAATGGAGGAGCAAAGAGGGTCTAGCTCCTCCTTCTCAAGGAGTCTGCCCAGAAGTCCCACACACATTTGCTTACGTCTCGTTGGCCAGAATTCAGTGCACTGACCACACCTAGCTGCAAGAGAGGCTGGAAAATGTAGGGGGTTTTTTTTGTTCTATTTTCTTTTTGTTTTCTTTAAGCTGAGCCCCTTGCTCAGGACTATAGTGAGACAGAAGGGAGAAAGGGGTGTTGGAAGGCAATTAGGCACCTTGGTCCCAGGACATTAGTGGTGACAACAGGTAAATGAGATCAAGGCCTGCCCCTGCTTAAAACTCTCCTGTCCTCTTCACCACAGCCCCACAGCCCTAGTTGATCCAGGCCCTGCCCCACCCCTTCCTGACTCATCTCCTCCTTCCTCTCATTCAACATGTGTTGAGCTCATCCCCCACCCCCCCAGGGCCTTTGCAGTTGCTGCTCCCCCTGCCTATAACACGTTGCCCCAGGATCCTCGTACAACTCACTCATCTCATCATTAGGCCCCGGCTCACATGCCCCTCCCTAGGGGGCCTGCCCCACGCTCCCTACCATAGTCACTCTCAGCCCCATTCACCTGTTTTCCAGAGCACCCAGAACACTCCGGAATTTGCTCCTGCGTCCCGTGTTTATGCTCTACACAAGGGGGAGACTGTCACTTTTGCCCAAAGCTCAGTGGCACAGCCAGAGAGGCTGCCCACATGCAGGTGCAGATGGAGGAGAATCCTTCATTTGTGTTTCCTCCTGCACCATAGTCTGCGGGGGGCCGGTGTGAGAAGCCTCTTGCCAGAGGCCTAGGTTCAGCACAGCCATTCACATTTTTGGTGGGCTTTTTTTTTTTTAATTGAGACAGTCTCACACTCTGTCACCCAGGCTGAAGTGCAGTCGCGTGATCTCGGCTCACTGCAACCTCTGCTGCCCAGGTTCAAGTGATTTTCCTTCCTCAGCCTCCCAAGTAGCTGGGATTACAGGCATGTGCCACCACGCCTGGCTAATTTTTGTATTTTTAGTAGAGACGGGGTTCCACCCCATTGGCCAGGCTGGTCTCAAACTCCTGACCTCAAGTGATCCGCCTGCCTTGGCCTCCCAAAGTGCTGGGATTACAGGTGTGAGCCACCGTGCCCAGCTTAGCCATTGGTGTTCGGAAAGCGCAGTACTTTGTTCCTCCTCACTCAGCCTCACTGTGGGCCTTGGCGGTAGAAGGGTGGTTCCTCCGACTTTCACCATGCCTGTCTGTCCACTTCAGAGGGACAGGGGATTACACACAGGGAGCCCTGCACTGGGGCTTGGTTGCAGATGTTCACACTGCCTCCAGTCTATGCCCGGGACTCAGTAGATACCCTGGATGGCTTGTCACCATCACCCAGACTCCCTCTGCCCTCTCCCCGTGGTTGGGCTCCCTGTGTCTATGGTCATCGCTTTCTTGCTTTGTTCCCTTGTGGACCACAGGCTCAAGTAGCTTCTTAAGAAAGAGGGGAAGAGGTCTGCAGAAGTATTTTTCTCTCTTCTCATTTGAGAAGTAGTTTATCTGGGTATAGAATTGAGTTTGGAGATAATTTTCCTTCAGAATTTTTAAAGCATTACTTCTTGTCTTCTAGTTTTTCTGGAAACTTGAAGTTCTGCAGCAATGTACTTTGGTGTGGGTGTTTTCAACCACTGTGGTGAGCAACTGAATCCTTTTAATCCCAAAACTGGTGTCCCTCATTTCTGAGAAATGTTGTTGAGTTATTTCGGGTATGAGTCCTTTCCCTCTGTTTTCTCTTTCTTGACTCCTGTTATTCATATGTGCAATCTCTTGAATTGATCTTTCAATGTTCTTAACTTTTACCTCCTATTTTGCTTTTCTTTGTCTTCTTGCTCTGTTTTCTAGGAGGTTTCCTCCCTTTTGCCCTCTAAGCCATCCTTTCGTTCTTCTTTTTTAAAAATCATTCATTTGTGCTTTTCATTTCCAAGAACTCTCCTTCAACTCTCTGTTCTCTGACTGTTCATTTTGTTAGCTCTTCGTGGATGTAACATCTCTTATCTCTCTGAGGTTTTTAATACACTTTGTAAAGATTTTCTTCGGAGATAACCTTGCATGGTCCCTTTCTTTACACTGTTATTTTTACTCTTTGTTTTTGTTTGTTTGTTTGTTTGTTTGTTTATTTTGAGATGGAGTCTCGCTCTGTTGCCCACACTGGAGTGCAGTGGCGCAATCTCAGCTCACTGCAGCCTCTGCCTCCGGGGTTCAAGTGATTCTCCTGCCTCAGCCCCCCAAGTAGACGAGACTACAAAAGCCCACCACCATGCTCGGCTGATTTTTGTATTTTTTGTAGAGACAGGGTTTCACCGTGTTGGCCAGGCTGGTCTCAAATCCTGACCTCAAATGATCCGCCTGCCTTGGCCTGCCAAAGTGTTGGGATTACAGGTGTGAGCCACTGCGCCCGGCTTTTTTTTTTTTTTCCTCTTTGTCTCTTTGTTTTCTCTATTCCATGATGAGCCGTCCCTAAGCTGTCTGCTGATTTGAGGCTCATCAGATCATGATCAAGTTCCAAAATGCAGACTGGAAGCTCCCAGATCTTGATGAGTCATCACCTGGCGAACCTCCCAGTGTTGGTAAGTTGAGGTCTTGCATTTGGGCTGGCCAGATCCCTAGGAAAGACTCAATCTCCTGCCTGGTAAAAATCTCTGGCTTATCAGCTTCTGGAACTGATTAAGGGAAGGAAGCTGGGCAGGGGGGTCCCAGGATTCTGTAGCCCCCGTTTTCAGTACAGCAGCTCTTAGCTGTGCCTCGCCTCCCCCAGTCTAGTGCATAAACCTTGGACTTTTGCTAGTGGTTGGGGAGAGGATGGGAGTAGTGATCTAACAGCTTGGAGGGAGGTAGGGGATCTAGAGCCTATCGGTTTTCAAAAGCTTTTGCTCCACTCTTTCTTGTTTTAACTCCCATTCATCCCCATTTCCAGGTGTACCTGCAGCTGCAAGTTCCTGAGGCTTTGAGGGCTCTGAGATGTGAATAGACTTGGATCTCTTCTAGAGAATCAAATAGCCTAAGGTCCTGTCCAACGGAGCCCTCTCTGTCAGGTATCACTCATCCCTCTGTTCCCAGGTTCCACAACTGCGTTGCTGTCATCTCCTCCTCTGTTATCTTTCTTATCAAATTGGTGTTTTTTAAAAGATCATTTGCTGTCCAGGCGCAGTGGTTCATGCCTGTAATCCCAACATTTTGGGAGGCTGAGGTGGGAGGATCAGGCCAGGAGGCCTGAGTTCGAGATCAGCCTGGGTGACATAGTGAGATCCCATCTCCACAAAAAAATAAAACAAGTATCAGGGCATGGTGGTGCACTCCCGGAGTCCCAGCTACTTGGAAGGCTGAGGTGGGAGGATCGATTGAGCCCAGGAGGTGGAGACTGCAGTGAGCTATGACCGCTCCACTAAACTCCAGCCTGAATGATGAAGCAAGACCCTGTCGCTAAAAAATAAAAATAAAATTTAAAAATTCATTTGCTGTATTTTAAGTGGAGGATGGGCAGGAGTGAAATTAGATATGCATGTTCTGTCTGCCATCATATCTCACCCTCCACAGCTTACAAAGGAGGTGATGGGAGTGAGAGTTAGGGCTTCTGATGGAGATGAACAGGCACGGAACACCTAACCCCCTCCTGTGTATGGGCGACCCTCACTTTATGAGGCTGAGCCCATCACCCCTTGTAGAAGGGGTATGACGATGCCATATACATACTTGCCTGTCATGCCGAGCAGCTAGGCTGGGATTCTGTGCCCAAGCCCAGCCAATAAGACGCTCCCCGCCAAGATCTGGTCAGGAGCTAGTGAGCAAAGACGCAGGAGTCAGGGAAGACCTTTGGGGCGGGGTAGCAGCAGGGACCATGCCGCATGCAAGCTGAGGTGGGCACGGTCGGGGTGCTGGCAGCCTTGTTCCCATCCGCTGGGTTCTTCAAAGGATTTGGACAATGATCAGCTAAGAGCCCTGAGTGATTCACACAACTGGCTAGTGGCAGGCTACTGGCAGTTGGGGTCAGGGCAGGGACCTCCTGACAGGATGCCATGTCCTTCTCCCTGTGCCCTTGGGTCCTGCTCAGCCCTTTGGAAGCTGCACCTGGAACCTCCCCAAAGGGGGCCTTCCCCACCTGCAAACTTCTCACAACCTCTGTCCTGCTCTGCCTCTCCAGACTGACCCTCTCCTGCCCTTCCCAATCCCGGACCCTTAACCTCCTGTCCCTTATCCAGAGGCAAGTCTCTTAGTCCATTTTTGTGGCTATAAGAAAAAACTCCCAACTGGGTAATTGGTAAAGAACAGAAGTTTCTTTCTCACAGCTCTGGAGGCAGGGAGGCCCACAGTCAAGGAGCTGGCCGGTTGGTGTCTGCCGAGGGCCTGGTCTTTGCTTCCACCATGCTGCTTGGCTGTTGCAGCCTCCAGAGGGGACGAAGGCTGTGTCCTCACCTGGCAGAAAAGCAGAAAGGCAAAAAGGGCCTCAGCTATTTCCCTCGAATCCATTCATGGGGTGGAGTCCTCAGGACCTAATTCCTTCCCAAAGTGCCCAACTCCTAACATTCCCCCAGTAGGGATTCCGTTTCCACATGCATTTTGGAGGGGGCCACACTTCAAGCCGCAGCAAAAGCCTGCCCTGTGGCTTACAGCATCAGCTTACGCAGCCCACTGGGTTCCAGCTCTCCATCTGCCCTGGCCGTCTCTGCTCCTCCTCTGTTTCAGCCAGCTCCATGCTCCCACACCTGTAGAATGCCTTGGCCACCACACTTCTCTCCAGCCAATATTTAAATATTTTTAAAAACATTTCCTATTTCATATGTTTACGCCTGTTCTCCTGGCTAGAAATGTAAGTGCCTTACCCCTTCACTGCAGAGTCCAGGGCCAGGCAACTTGCAAACAATACAGATATACTTTTTGCAAAATGTCCAATAAATGATTTCTTCACTTCCCTGCTCTGTCAAGGAAGAAAGCGTTTATGAACTCATGTATGATTTATAGACACAAATATTGGTAGTGAAAGTTATTCACCCATATCTGACCTTAGTTGTCAACTAGTTTTTATTGTAAAACCAATGTAACGTGAAACATTTTTGGGAAAAAATGGGGAAATCATCCATAATTCTACCTGGCACAACTATTTTCATTTTTATTTTTCCATGTATATTGCCTTCAAGCCCTTTTCCTAAAATGTCCATAGCTCCAATCCTGGTAGTTACTCCCCATAAAACCTGGCTCACAGGACAGGTCCCAAGGCAGCTTTCCTGGACCCTGAGTAACTCCTTGTCTCTCTGCCTCTGTCCTTGACCTTCTCACCCCAAGTGTCGTTCCTTGTTTTCACGTCTCTCCTGCCCTGACGGGGCCAGGAGCTTCCTGGGGGCAGGAGGGCTCCCGCGAGTCTCTTGTGTCCCAAGCACAGAGCCTGGCGCGTGGTTTGTGCTTCTTGCGGTCACAGTTTGGCATTCTGTGCTGTCACTGTGTGTTAGAACAGACGCCTTTTCCCTTGTTGCTCTGTAGTTTTCATAACGATCATTTTTAACCACTCCAGAATATTTCATCAAGTGGATGTTCCATAATTTAGTTAACCAGTCCCCTACCGGGGAACATTTGGGTTGTTTCCAGTTTTTTCTGTATTACAAATAATGCCGCAACAACTGTCCTTGTGCAAGATCATTTATTTCTCCTTTTGAGTAAATTCGTGGAATCCCTGGGTCAGGCAGGCCCCTGGGCTTGGGCACGGCTCACAGGGAGGGACACAGTGCCCCCACCACCATCCCTTCCCTCAGCATAAACACATTCTGTGATGACACAGATCTGTCTTCCTGCTCTTCTGAGCAGTCAGAGATTGTGTTGTCCTCATTCAGCAAATGTTTATTAAAGTTTTATCTATCTTGGATTCTCCAGAGCCTTGTCTTATGCCTTCTGGCTGCTGTAATAAAGCACCATCAGCTAGGTGGCTTACAAACCATAACAGTTTGTTTCTCAAGGTTCTGGAGACTGGGTCAGAGATCAGGGCACTGGCAGGGGTTCTGGTGAGGGCCACTCTTCTGGTTTTGGACGTCAACTTCTTATTGTGTCATCATGGCAGAAAGAGGGCCAGAGAGCTCTCTGGGGTCCCTTTGATAAGGGCACTAATCCATCCATGAGGCTCCACCCTCATGACCAGGGGACCGAGGTTACTTTTTTTTTGGAGAGAGGGTCTCACCCTGTCGCCCAGGCTGCAGTGCAGTGTGGCGATCTCGGCTCACTGCAACCTCTGCCTCCTGGGTTCAAGTGATTCTCCTGCCTCAGCCTCTCGAATAGCTGGGATTACAGGTGTGCACCACCACACTCAGCTAATTTTTGTATTTTAGTAGAGACAGGGTTTCACCATGTTGGTCAGGCTGTTCTCGAACTCCCAACCTCAAGTGATCCGCCCGCCTCGGCCTCCCAAAGTGCTGGGATTACAGGCGTGAGCCACCATGCCCGGCAGAGGTTCCTTTTGACCACCTTAAAACCATCACACTGGGGGTTAGGGCTTTGACGTAGGAATTTGGGGGGATATTGACGTAACAGCCTGTTACATAACCTGGTGTGTCTGAGGCATTTGTGGCCTTGACCTGATGTGCCTGCCCCACATCTGTGCCCCATCTTCTGGCTGCTGGCTCACTGATTTTCTCCTGGGGAACCCCCACCCGTGCCCATGTGCCGCTTCAGTGGGACTGAGGTGACTTTCTGTTACAGCAGTGGACTTGGGCATCAGGCCTGGCCAATCAGAGTACTGCATCTCTGCTTTACAGGGATTGGTTCAGGGAATGTCACATGACTGAGTCAGAGCCAATGATTTGCAACCTTGCGACACTTAGCAATGCCCTTTCTTCCCCCTCAGGGCTGTGAGGACGTCCCAGGAATGATGCCATAATGTCGCTGATGTCATATCGACATAATATTGACAGCGAACATCAGAGCTGCCTGCAGCCAATTTGCCACTGTCTAGGGAGAATCCCTGAAGATGGTGCCAACACAAGGGGAGAGCACCAAGGGAGGCAGAGAGAACCTTCCTTCATTTACTCCTCCTGCCTCTATGTGCTAAGCCCCACTCTGTGCCAGGCCCATTCCTGGCCCTGGGGAAACAGCCACGAACAAGACAGAGTCCCTATTCTCACGGTGCTGACATCCTAGTGAGAGGTGACAGCGTGCTGGCAGTCGTCGCAGCCCTCGCTCGCTCTTGGTGCCTCCTTGGCCTCGGCACTTTTGTGTCTAGCTTGGGGATCGTAAAGGCACCAATCAGCACCCTGTCAAAACGGACCAATCCACTCTCTGTAAAACAGAACAGTCAGCTCTCTGTAAAATGGACCAATCAGCAGGATGTGGGTGGGGCCAGATAAGGGAATAAAAGCAGGCTGCCCGAGCCAGCAGTGGCAACCCGCTCGGGGCCCCTTCCACACTGTGGAAGCTTTGTTTTTTCGCTCCTTGCAATAAATTTTGCTGCTGCTCACCGTTTGGGTCCACACTGCGTTTATGAGCTGTAACACTCACTGGGAAGGTCTGCAGCTTTACTCCTGAGGCCAGCGAGACCACGAACCCACTGGGAGGAAGAAACTGAACACTTCCGAACATCAGAAGGAACAAACTGCGGACACGCGGCCTTTAAGAACTGTTAACACTCACCGCGAGGGTCCGCGGCTTCATTCTTGAAATCAGTGAGACCAAGAACCCACCAATTCCAGACACACTAGCAGGGAGAAGCAGGCCCTAAGCCCAGTAAGCACACAGGTAAACAAGTGAGTAAGTAGGATTGCTCCAGAAAGTGGCAACTGCAGAGAAGAGAAACAGCCCATAGGGGTGAGAGCGGGTAGCTGACGGAGCGTGGCTATTGTGGACTGGCCTTCAGGGGGCCTCTGAAGAGTTGACATTTGAGCGACTTGAACGATGTATTCCAGTTGGAGGCAGTCACCTAAGGCCTAAAGTGGGACATGGCATTGTGCATGTTTTTTGCTTTGTTTTGTTTTACATTTTTCTTTTCTTTCTTTTTTTTTTTTTTTTGAGACAGCGTCTCACTCTGTCACCCAGGCTGGAGGGCAGTGGCATAATCACGGCTCACTGCAGCCTCAAATTCCCCAGGCTCAGGTGATCCTCTCACCTCAGCCTCCCAAGTAGCTGAGATCACAGGCACATGGCACCACACCTGGCTAATTTTTGTATTTTTTGTAGAGACGGGCATCTTCCTATGTTCCCCGGCTGGTCTTGAACTCCTGGTTTCAAGTGATCCGCCCGCCTCCAGCTTCCAAAGTGGTGGGATTACAGGCATGAGCCACTGTGTCTGGTCTTTAATTTTTCAAATATGGTAAAATACACATAACATAAACTACCATTAACCATTTTTTTTCCTGCACAGTTTAGTAGATATGCAGGTTTTGAAGATATTTTTGAACCCCTGGATCCAGCAGTTTCCAAAGCCATCTGCTTCCTGACTTTTCAGGTTTATAAGCCAGTAGTCACCCCAAGTTTGAACTGGATTTTCTGCCACTGGCTCCTGGAGCCTGAGACAATCAGCATTGTTGGAAATCTCTAGAAACACGCTACTCCCCGCAATGCATCTGTTCCCTGCGTCTCTGCAGCCTCACCAGCTCTGGGTATTATCATCAAGCAGCATTAAAGCCTAGAATATGAAATTCAGGGGGAAACAACTGATCCAAGGCGGGAGAGAACCAAAACCGGCCTCGCCTCTCCTCCTGTGAGTTCTCGGTGCCCATCCACACACAACTGGGTTCGGGCCGCTTTGTTCTTTGCTCTGAGCTGTTGTCTTATGGCAGGTTGTGACATTTCCACCTGGAGGTGTCCCGCTCATTGCTCTGGGGACGTTTTTATTTTCATATTTAAAGAGAATTTTTGTGGCAGTCTGTGTCACCAAGGGCTGTCGGGAGCCCCTGGCAATATGATTCTGTCTGAAGAACAAAGAGGCAAATTTGCAGAAGATCAAATGCAGAGGCATCATGAGGGAAGGAGGGCTGAGAGCTGCAGATGAAAACCGTGATGGTTCCAGCCCAGATCTGTGCGTTTTGCTGAGATCTGAGAGCCGTGAATAATGCAGGCTCTACACACAGCCCAGGGTGTGCAGCAGCTGGTGGTGGAGAGGAGGTGGGATCCCCCCAACCTCGTTGAAGACGTGGCTTCGCTGTGAAGAAGCAGGGCTGGGCACAAGCCCTCCAGGCAGGGCCAGCTCCAGTGAAAAGAGCAGCAAAGAGGAGGGATGGAGTTGAGGGGCTCAGGCCGTGCCGGCATACAGATGAGCGTGGGAAGCCCAGATGCAGGGAAAAACACGATCCACTGCCAGCTTCCCGCAGTGGGGGCTGGTGTCCCTGGGGATTTAGGGGGATGCAGAGGCCACATTGAGCTCTCCTGCTGGACCCTGAATACACAGGTACCTTCTCTGCCAGACTCAGGAAGGTGCCTCTGCAGCCTTGGGGTGCAGGCTCTGTGTGCTGCTTCTGGAAGGCCACCTGTTCCCTGGCTCCTGTGTGCCCCCACACCCTCAGCTTGCCACTGCCCCTCCTGGGCCCAGGCCCAGGTCCAAGCTTACCCTCCAGGCGCAGGCCTTTTCCACTCTCCCCCCCAGCCTCCAGCCCTGAGCCTCCACCCCTCCTCCAGCTCCTCCCAGCCTCCCCCTGCTGCAGTCCCTATCCTACCATCCCTACTGGGTCCTCTTCCTCCCCTTCTGCCCTAGTTCTCCCTCCCTTCTCTTGGCGCTCTCAAGCCTCTGGTTGGCTGCCTCATATCTCTTGACACAATCTGACTACCCACTGAGTCTTCCTTCCTGGGTTCACAGCCCCAGACCAGTTCTGTCTCTCTCTCTGCCCAGCTTGAGACATCCGGTGCCCCTGCCCTGCCCCTGTGCAGCACTCTCTCTAGAAACATGGCCCTTCCTTCTGGGAGTGGACTCTCAACCTGGCTACCTAGTATCAGAACCTTCTTCCTGAAAAGGAAGATCCAGCCCCTCTCTGTGTACACAGAAATGCCAGACATACAATCTGGGCCTTCCCCAGAACACAAGGGTCCACCATCAGTAGCACCTACCCCAACTAGCCAGGGCCACAGAGAGTCAGGGACCCCCAGAATCCATCTCTCTGTGTGGGGCAGTGGCAGCACCAGCAACCTCATCCGGCCTCCAGAAGCAGGGGGACAGGACGCAGAGCTGGGCAGGTTGGGGTCTCAAAGCCAAGGGCAAGGGCAGCTGTCTGTCTGCAGCTCCTTCCCAGGCGTTCAGCCTCTCAGCATGATGCTCGGCTTCCCAGAGGGTTTCTGGGCTCCAAATATCCTTTCATAAATGCCCTTCCTGTTTACCTGAGCCTGAAAGAACTTCCATTGCGTTGGGTTGTATTTCATTATATTACAGTGAAAGACCCTGCCTTGCCCATCACCTTTTTCGTTTTTTTTAAAACCCTATTCTAGTATCTCTTTAATATAAATTTATTAAGTTTAAAACATAAATTCTTGCAAAGAAAAATATTAAGTAAAATATTAAGTAAATTAAAAATTCAAATTATGAGTCCAAAATCCTGAAACCAGAAAAGATTTGACAGTATCAAAATTGTAAATGCATATATGTGTCCTTTAAACCAACAATCCCTCCTTTCCTATTCAGCCAGTAAAGCCTGGAGATTAGAGGCCTTTCCAAATCAGGGGATAGAAACCTTCCCCACCTGCCCTTCTCCTCCTTTCTATTTTTGTTCTCACAGCTATAGAGTATCCCACGGTCCTGACAGGCCCTAGCTCATTGAGCCAGCCCCTTGTGGGCGGACACCTGAGTTGTTTTCAATCTTTTGCTCTTGTAGTGCAGTGAATAGCCTTACACCTATGTCATCGAGTTAGTACAAAGTGGAGCATGCACGCGATAAATCTATCAAGGGAGAAAACGAGATACGGAACAGTCCATAGGACACACTCGGTTTTGTACAAGAAAGAGAGAAAATAAGAATATGTTTTCATATTTGTTATACTTCAACAAAGATACTCTGGATGGACAGATGGAAAGCTGGTAAGCATACCTGCCTTTGTGGTGAGGGTGGGTGGGGCAGCAGGTTAGGGGAGAGACTTCCCATTCACCTTTTTTTTTTTTTTTTGAGACAGAGTCTCCCTCTGTCGCCCAGGCTGGAGTGCAGTGGCACCATCTCGGCTCACTTCAGCTTCCACCTCCCAGGTTCAAGCGATTCTCCTGCCTCAGCCTCCTGAGTAGCTGGGACTACGGGCACAAGCCATCATGCCTGGCTAATTTTTTTGTATTTTTAGTGGAGACCGGGTGTTACCATGTTGGTCAGGCTGGTCTCAAACTCCTCACCTCAGGTAATCCTCCCGCCTCGGTCTCCCAAAGTGCTGGGATTACGGGTATGAGCCCCTGCACCCAGCTCCATTTACCTTTTAAGCTCCTTCTGCTTTTGGAACCATGTGATTGTATTACCTAGTTACAAAACAAAAACATAAATGAATGTAGAGGTGGAACACAGAGGTGACCAAAATCCTGACTGTGGCAGCTAATGGCTGACTTTGGGGAGCTGCTCCATACTGTGGTCTTGAGCTGTCTCTTGCACTCCTCCTTCACCTGCAGGAGCCAGCAGGGAGCTGGAGAGAGGGTGGGGATAGCACTCAAGAGTGCAGACCCCCGCCCAGCTGTGTGCACATGCACGCAGCTGCCAGCAGCAACCAGAGCCACCCCTGGCATCCTGTGTCAAGCCCGCGGTGTTCTGGAGTGGTGATGAAGGGCCTCTCCCTCAAACTGGACACCTTAAATCCTGCTTCCCGCCACCAAGGGAAGACTCCAGAGGGGCCTGCCCGGGTTGAGAAACTGCCCAGTGACAGCCATTTGGCTCCCTTCCCGTACTCATATAGACACAGCCTGGCCCAGGCGGTGACTGCTTCCTACCTGCACAGACACCACCTGACCCACACACGAGAGACCAGCAGAGCAGCCCACACCATTGTCCCCAGATCTTGGCACCCTGAAGAAGCTGAGCTGAGCACACACAATTAAAATCTCCCCTCTGCAGCCAGAGGAAGGACCTGGGCTTTGGGGAGGGCACCAGGAGCAGGCGGCTGGGGGCAGGGCCATGCTCCCTTTTTGTCTCTAGCTGCCTTTTGTTCAAAGATAAACATGCCTCGGCCTCCTTCCCCTACCTGAAAGCCGCTTCTGCCGGCGAGAGAAATCGTACACAATCTCTGCTCTGGATGTACAAAAAGTCTGAAATTGCTTGGAGACCAGGCGGGAGGGAGCGGGGTGAGGCTGGGGGATCCGGGCGGGTAATTGCGGGTCATCCATCTGCCTTGTCGGAGGCACCAGCCCCGCAGCATTTGCAGAGAGGACTCCGTGAATTTGCTTTTTCCCCACATCTTGCATTACTTACTCTTGCCTCAGCAGCCATAAAACCTTTTCCTAAAACTGCCCTCAAGCATAATAAACAGGAGACATTCGGAACTGGTGAGAAAGACAACCCCAAAATGATGCACTTGGCCATTCTCAGGGTTCCTGAGCCGAATCTGCTTTGGGGGACTGGGGGGTTTCCACCGGACCCCAGCACTGCCGAGGACACCAGGGCTGCAGCATGGTGGGGGCTCTCAGTCTCTCCCTCCTTCACCCTGCTCAGAGGAGTGACCCTGGAAGGCCGCCTCTGAATGGGCCTTAGGGCTTAGAAGCTACCAGAACCCGCTCAGCCCGCCTGCATTCCTCCAGGTAGCCCACCAGTGACCCTTGAGTTGGGTTCCGCCTGGCCTAGAGCCAGTTCTCTCCCTGACCTGAAGTGAGCGGTGGAGAACAGGGGGCTGGGGTGATGGGTAATGCGACATTGGAATGACCTGCCCAGCACCCAGGCAGGATGCAGGACCAAAGACCTCCCCAACCCGCAGCCCCACAGGGGCTAACAAGACCAGAGCTTCGTGCTCCTTGTTGGGAGGAGCCGGACTTGCTGAGAAGCAGGGGGCTCAGCTCTGGAACCTTTTGCCTGGGGAATACGGGCCACCGTGAGACCTTACCGCAGTCTTGTCACCTCACCGGGTCTTGGCTTCCCCATTGAACAGTGTGAGCGGCACCGTGACAACAATGGCAGGAAATGTGTGTTGCTCACGTGGAACATGCCAGGCCCGGCCCAAGCACTTGTTGTGGAGGCTGTCATCTCGCGGCCCAGGTCGGCTGCAGGGTCAGGCTGTGCCATGGCCGGGTGCGGTGGGGGTGCTGTTTGTAAATAACAACCTTTATTTACAGTCTATAAAGGCTCCATTAAAGCCAGAGGTTTTCAGAGTCCAAAGGGGCCCTAGAGGCCATGCAGGCCCACCTTCTCTCTCTCAACACCCCAAACTCACGCCCGAGGAGGCTGAGGGACCCTCCTGGGGGCACACAGAGGTGGGGCAGACAGGGACAAGAGTGTGGGTCTCCAGGCTGGCCATGTGGCCGCCTGCCCTTCCTTTCTTCGCTGGCCCCGGAGGCAGGGAGTAGGGGCGCACAGGCCTCCACCCTTGGTCTAGGAGGTGTCAGCAGCGGGAGGAGGCTCCTGTCCTGGGGCTGTCGCAGCTCTTGCCCTGCCCTTTGGTGGGCTTTGTCCTTGGCTTCTCCTGTTGTGGAGGGCTGGGGCAGCTCCTGGAGACTCCCCACTCCCCTTCACGAGGGATTCCCCCTCACCCTTTCCAGCTTCCTCTGCCTATGAGAGAGGTGGGAGTGAACCCCAGCTGTGGCCCTCTCCATGCTGTCCATCACCAGTGGCTGCAGAGGACAGAGCGGCTGGAGGAGCTCACGCCGCCTGCCGCTGGGGACGATTCTGGTCTCAGCCTGCAGGGGCGTGGGGGACCCCGGGCCTTGGCCTGTGGGAGAAGGTGTATCTGTCAGTTCTAGGGGCAGCAGGGGGTGAAATCCCTGCCGGCAGCCTCATCACCTTTTCAAGGGTAGGGCTTGCAAGCTCTCATGCCCACAGCCAAGCCAGCCAGGTGGGGACAGCCCAGGGCGGACCCTTGGGGCTCCAGCTGACAGAAGCACTCGCAAGACAGGCCGGTGTGGGTGGCCGTGCTGCATTTTGAAGAGGAATCGGAAGCCCGGGCTTTTAAAATAGGAAATGTCCTGAGTTGTAGGCACTGCCAGTCACACATGACCCATGAGCCCGTCCTGTGGGGGTGCTCCTGGCTCCAGGGACCCAGGCCCTCTGTTCGGTGGGGCTGTGCTGGGGCTGGGAGGGGAGGCACTCCACTCGCTCACACACCAGAGGCTCCCATGAGGAGGCCCCGTGTTCCTAAGGTGGGAGCAGAGGCCTGGAGAGATCGGGCAGTTTGCCGGGACTGCAGACTGAGCAACAGCTCCCACCACCCTCAGAGCCTGTGCTTTCCAGGCGCTTCCCCCAAAGCCACCACTGCCAGAGGTTCTGGGATGCCCCCTCCTTTGCCTTCTGCATGCTGGGTCCTCTGATGTGCCCCTCTCTGCCAGGAGCTCAGGATGGAACCCCAGACATGGCCAGCCACTCCTCGGCAGGCCAGCCTCAGTCCTCTGTCAAGGCAGGGTTCCTGGACCACAGGTCTTTGTCACTCCTGTCCTGGCTTGGGCACTGAGCTGTTTTGCCCTCTTACCTCTGTCTACTCGATGTCCCCAGGTGGGTACCTTGGGAGGATTCCTGAGGCAGGACACACTCGCCCTCAGGGCTCTGATGGGCCCCAGAACCTCATCTGAGCCTCAGTTTCCCAGCCTGTGAGATGGGGCTGATAACCCAGCCGTCGGATTCCCAGGGCTGCAGAGGGTGCTGCGGGGTCCGGCATCTTCCCTCACAGGGAAGGAAAGGGGTCCGTGCAGGCTGCTCTCCTAGGCCTCAGTTTAATAGGCCTCAGATTTGCACTGGAGACTCACAAAGATGCTCTGTCGGGATGGAGAGAAGAAGGCAGGTGTCACTCTGCATAACTGGCCATCTCGCCTCTGTCTTCTCCCTCGTTCTCTGGGGAATCTCGGCACCCCTGTGAACTCCGTCCGCAGGATCTGTCCAGAACCCAGCCCCACCTTCTGCCTCCCTTGGGCCCTGTGGGCTGAAGGCCTGTCTCAGCATCTCCTTCCCTGTCCCCGGGCTCTGGCCACCCAGCCTCCTTTCCAGCCACTCCCACTGAGGGCCTCTGCCTCTGCGGCTTACCCAACCTGGAAGGTTCTCCCCGCAGACAGCTGTGTGCCGCTCTCCTCTTTCTTGAATCTCTGCTCACATCATCCTATCAATCAGAGAGGCCTCTTGGAGCCACCCCACAGAAGAGGGAAGCCGCTCCTTCCCCGGCCTCCCGCACCCCAGCCCCTTGGCCCAGCTTTGCCTGCTCAGCACACACCCCCACCTGGCGCCTTGAACAGCTGCTTAGTGCTTCTCTACTTCGCCTCCAATGCAACTGGCTATAAAACAGACCCCATGTCTGTTTTGTTCCCTGATGTCTCCCCAGTGCCTGGCCCCTAAGTAGGAGCTCTGGAAACACGTGCTGAATGAATGAGTGAATGAATGGTTGAATGTAAACATTTAAGTTATCCCGCAGTTTCTGTAACCCTATGGGGAATTTCTGGCATTTTTAACATATGAGACCCAAAACATGGTTTTACTGGAGAGTCTCCTTTCTCAAGAAGCTCCCAGCAGGAGCATGATGGTGGGTGGCTGAGTCCAGAGGTTCTGCCCACCCCAGGGAAGGAGGAAGACAGCACAGACATGCTCAGTGCCAGGGGGCAAGAATGTCCCCCCACAGAGAGGAGGCAGCTCGGTCTATGTCCCCGGGGGCTCAGAGCAATGCCCAACAGAAGTTCCGGTGCAGGGGAATCCCAACACAAAACCAACTCTTCATTGTGACACAGGCCATGAGGAGAATCTTCAGAAAGGGCATTTACAGGATGTGTGGGAGCTGTTAAGCTCACTTGAGGAAGGAAGAGTAAGGAAAGGAGAATGGTGCAGACACAAACACATGGGCAGAGTGTGCTGGGTGAATGGGCTTTCCTCCTCCTGGGACATCACAAGTTCTGTTTAAGAAAAGGGCAAAAGGGGCTGGGCACAGTGGCTCACACCTGTAATCCCAGCACTTTGGGAGGCCAAGGCAGGCAGATCACTTGAGGCCAGGAGTTAGGGACCAGCCTGGCTGACATGGCAAAACCTCGTCTCTACTAAAAATACAAAAATTAGCTGGGCATGGTGGTGGTGCACCTGTAATCCCAGCTACTCGGGAGGCTGAGGCAGGAGGATCCCTTGAACCAGAGAGGCAGAGGTTGCAGTGAGCCGAGATTGCGCCACTGCACTCCAACCCGGGCGACAGAGCGAGACTCTGTCTAAAGAAAGAAAGAAAGAGAAAAGGGCAAAAAGTTGGCAAACACTGGATTAAACAAAGTTAGATTGATTTTGTCACTGCAGGACTCACCAGAGCCTTTAATGGGGTATAGCGTGCCCCATTTCCCAAACTGATTTGTTTCATGGAGGATGTGGAGAGCTCAGAGGGCCATCTAGACCACCTTGGGAATTAGGAATTACTGACAAGAGCAGAGGGGCACATGGCAGCCAGGGATGGGGGTGGGGGACAGGGGGGATACGACTGAAAAATGAAGCTGGGGTCCATTTGTAAACTCTTTGAATGCCCTGCATTCAGGAAAGGGCTGCTATAGCTGAGCACTGCACAGCTGCCGGGAACACCAACCCCAGAAAATACAACCTGAATGGTGGCTCCTGGAGCTGTGCAGTGCACACTCTGAACATCTGTCCATAGCAGCATGCCCAGAGGTGGGCAAGGCTCATTCGGCCCCAGTGAATTGCTGCCAAGTGGGAAGATGCTATAGACTAGTGCCCACCAGTATTGAAACTGGTAAAACTAGTGGTCACAGAAGACTGTACTTCTCAGCCCTTGGGGTGTGGATGGGCCACATGACTAGTTTCAGTCAATGACAAGTGAGCAGAAGTCAGGCGATGTCACATGCTGAAGCCGTGCAATGTCCCTGTGCTCTTCTTCTGTTTCTTCTTTCCCAGAAGCAGCAACTGACAAGGTCATGTGTCTCAGATGCCACTTAAAAATGGTGGTGCCTCCATCAGCCTGGTTCCCTAAGTGACTGTGTGGAGCAGAGTGCCCTGGCTACCTGCACTGAATATGTGGTGCTCATAAGAAATAAAGACCTGCGTGGTAAGCTCCTGTGACTTGGAGGTGCTTGTTACTGCAGCATAGCTCAGCCTGTCCTGACCTACACAGAAATAGAGGTAAATGTTGTCCTGACTTGTGATTTTGAAAAGAAATCTTCTGGTGTTAAATGTTGGAGACAGGATAAAAATACAACCAATATAGCGCAGACCAAGCAGAATCCCTCTGCAGGAGAGGCGTGGCCCACGGGCCACTGGTTTGCAGCCTACCCACCATCGCAGGCTCAGCTGTAGGGCCTCAGAGGACCGTACATAGAACGTGAGCTAACTCATTTTTCTGTACTTTCCCATGCAATCTCAGATCTACTTGTGGGCGTACCGGGACAGAATGAGACTCTCTGCTCTATGATTAACTGGAAGAGATTGCCTGGTTACAAACAGAGAAAAAGAAGGCAATTCTGTGGCTCTTTTAGAAGCTGCTGAAAAGCAGTATTTGGGCATTTGAACGCCTGTGGGCCAGCAGCTATGAGACGAGGGCTGAATCCGACTTCAGGATGCAGGAAACGGGGTTAGGAACTCATGGTTCAAATTCCAGCTCTGCTATTTGGTGTGTCACCTTGGGCATGTCACCTCACCTCTCTGAGCCCATTTCCTTGTTGGGAGGTTGGGGATCATCATAGAAACCACTTCTCAGGATGTTGACAGGAGCGAGGGAGGTGTGTGGCCAGTCAGGTGGTTCCTAGTCTCCTGGGGCATCCCTGCCTGCACGGAGAAGGCTCATCCAGGGAAGGGGCCAGGATGGGCCTGAGACCCAGGTTCCCCGGGGCCAGTCAGTTACAGTCTGGCTGTATTCGTTTCCTGTGGCTGCTGTCACAAATTCCCACAAGTGTGGTGACTTTTTTTTTTTTCCATTTTTAAATATTGTGGTTAAAAAAAGCCCATGTAACATGAAATGTACCCTGCCAGCCATTTGTAAGTGTATAGTGTGCTGCTAAGTATCTTCATATTGTGCAACAGATCCCCAGAACCTTTCATCTTGCAGAGCTGAAACTCGGTATCTTGGTGACTTTTTAAACAACACAAATTTATTCTCTTACAGCTCTGGAAGCCAGAAGTCCAAAATCATTGTCACTGGGCTAAAGTCAAGGTGTTGGCAGGTTGGCTCCTGCTGGAGGTTGGAGGGAGGATCCATTTCCCGGACTTCTGTAGCTTCCGGAGCTGCCTGCATTCTTCGGCAGAATTCCACTTCCTTACATCACTCCAACCTCTTGCTTCTGTTGTCACAGCTCCCACTTCTGGTGTCAAATCTCCCCCTGCCTCCCGATTATAAGGACACTTGTGATTACATTTAGGGCCCACCCAGATAACCCAGGATAACCCTCCCTTCTCAATCGCATATGCGAAGTCCCCTTTGCCAGGAATTGGGACTTGCGTGTCTTTGGGGGCCGCTCTTCGCCTAACACCCTGGCTACGGTGGTCCGCTCTGGGCCCGAGGTGCCTTTGCTGGCAGCCAGGACAAGCAGGGTCCCAGAGGAAAATGCCAAGTGGGGGCCCATGGAGTAGCAGGACTTGGGGACAAGCCCGATTCTGTCCCCTGATCTGGCTCTCACCGTCTGGAAACATACAGGCGCCTTGCTCTGGTCCTTCCTCGTCCTCTGCAAGGCAGGCTCCTTCCTGCACCCCTCCACTTCCTCAGGTGACGGTATCCACCCCAGGACCATTCATGGAACTAACAAAGCACTGGACATACAGACAAAAACTGCTTCTTTCCTGAAGCTCCCATCCTAGTGAGGGAGAGTGAAGAAGCCGGGTACGTGATGTGGGAGGCAGTGAAGCGCGCTAAGGAGAGCAAGCGGGGACGGGGAGAGGAGGGCAGGGCAGGCCCGGGCTGTGAAGATTCAGCCCACACACATTTATCAAGCACCTACCAGGTTCCGGGGCCTGGGACACAGCTGAGAATGAGACAGACCCAGCCCCTATCCCAGAGGATCACCTGTTTTAGCGGGGGGATGAAGCCGATGAGGAAATGAATGGGGCACGTGCAGAAGGCAGTGAGGCTGGGAGGAACCACAGCGGTGCCCTGGGCTCAGGAGTGATGGAGCTGCTTCAGATGGGGCGGTCAAGGAGGACCTCTCGGAGGAGGTGATTGGGGACTGAGGGAGACGGCTCCAAGTGGAGGGGACAGCAACTGCAACGTGGGGGTGATGCAGCTCAATAGCCATGCGTGTCTGGGTGGCAGGAGCTCAGAAAAGCGTGTTGGCGGCAGTAAGGATGGAGGGGGATTGTCCTGGGATGGGGCTTCCCGTCCCACCTGCTGTGCCTGGGCTTTTAAGCCAGCAGTGAAGACACCTGAGACAGACCCAAGAGAAAGGCCTGCCCACACCTGGTGGCCACTCCAGACAGAATGAGGACAGGGCCCAGCACAGGTGGAATGGCCCAGGCCGGAGGAGCCCCTCTCAAGGAGGAGCCTGCCTTGTCCCCCACTCCTGCGCGGAGCCCTGTTCCCTCACGCGGGCTGGCTTCTTTAACGAGACCATCTGTCTGGCTTTCCTCACTCGGCTGAGCCTGCTGGTGCCATCCATCTCCCCCAGCCCCATCTCCCGTCCGTCTGTCACCGCTCGGCCCCCACCATCCCTGCCCAGCTCTGAGGGGGCCTCAGCAGGTCTGGCCTTCGTGTTTACTCTTCTCATCTGGCCACATCTGGCCCCCGTGCTGAGTCACCCTCTCCATCTGCCTGTCCTCCCTGTTGGACGGTGGCCGTCTCCTTCCTGGCTCTTTCGGAGCCACGTGGCAGCCCACGCGTGGAGCGGGTGCCAGAGCCGGCACACGCGTGGGGATGTGACTGTGAGCGGCTTGGTGCCAGCCTGCATCCCAGGAGGGGCCCCTCAAGGACAGCCCCACTGGAGGCCTCCCCCGCGGCCTTGGAGGGTCCGGTGGTCCACTGGACGAGTCTCAAAGAAACCAAAGAGACTCAGAGAGACAAAGGCCACAGCCAGGCTGAGGCAGAAACGGAGATGCCTGGTATCAAGGCTGGGTATGAACCCAGCTCTGCTGGATGCCAGAGCCTTTCAATTCTGCATCTGAGCGTGGAAGTAGGAAGAGTGTGGGCATTTCAGAAGGGTGTGGGGGCGGGAGGCAGCCTGGGAGCAAACAAGAGTCACAAGCCCGGGGTCCGAGGCCCTGCAGGGCTGGACCCAGAGCTCTGAATCTGGGTAGGTTACTTAGCCTTTCCCAGCCTGACTTCCTGCACATATTTTGAAAATTAAACCAGTTGCACTGAGGTAGTACAATACCATCACCTACCCCTCAGGCCAGCCTGGAATAGCACCCCTTCCTCTGACAACAGCATCCCAAATTTTCCTTAAGCCCCTTCTCAATCCCTGAGATTTGGGAAGGGCTGACAGGAGAAGACATGTGACCAAAGATGAGACAATCCAAGCACTGCAAACTCAGCCCCACCCCCACTTCAGTGCTTGGCTTGGGGTCAGGTGGGTGCCAAGCTGGGCTAGTCAGGGCCAGAACCTTTGCTGAACTTAGCTCCCCTCCCCTCCCCTCCCCTCCCCTCCCCTCCATTGCCCGCCACCCCACTCCCTTTTCCTTTCTTTCTTTCTTTCTTTCTTTCTTTTTTTTTTTTTTTTGAGACGGAGTCCAGCTCTGTCGCCCAGGCTGGAGTGCAGTGGCGTGTTCCCAACTCACTGCAACCTCCACCTCCCAGGTTCAAATAATTCCCCTGCCTCAGCCTCCCAAGTAGCTGGGATTACAGGCGCCCGCCTCCACGCCCAGCTAATTTTGGTATTTTTAGTGGGGATGGGCCACTGTGATGGCCAAGCTGGTCTCAAACTCCCGACCTCGTGATCCTCCCACCTCGGCCTCCCAAAGTGGTGGGATTACGAGCGTGAGCCGCCACACCCAGCCCCTTTTTTAAATTTTTTTTGAGACAGGGTCTCACTCTGTTGCACAGGCTGGAGTGCAGTGGTGCAACCACAGTTCCCTGCAGCCTCAAACTCCTGGGCTCAAGTGATCCTCCTGCCTCAGCCTCCCAAAGTGCGGGGATTACAGGCATACTCTGCCACGCCCAGCGTGCTGGAACTTTTCTAAGGAAGGGGTGCTCCTTGCTCACTGTGAGAGTGAGCAGGCTATGAGCTAGAGCTACTGGTGGCTGCCATGTGGTGAGAGCCCGCCTGTGAGGAAAACCAGCAGAGAGGAGAGCAGAGCCAAAGCACGGAGAATAAGAGCAGTCCTAACAAGCCCCTGGATCCAGCTGGGCCTGAAGCCAGCTCCACTTCTGGACTTTTCAGTAATCGATGCCAATACATTGCCTTTTATAACAGAGCCTGAGTTGGGTTCTGTCATTTGCAATCAAGGAGTTGTATGTGCTGTATTCCTGAAAGGGACAAATATGTGCCTGATACACAGTAGGCTCTCAATACATGCTGAAGATAAGGATAAGACCTTTGTGAGAACAGCCAGTCTCAAAACATATTCTATGATTTCCTGGGCATAACACTCCACACACGGCAGAATTATAGAGATGGCAAGCAGGCTGGTGGCTGCTGGGAGCTAGGGCTGGTGGAGGGTGGAGGTGGGTGTGACATCTTCACGGGGATGGAACAGGTCTAGATCTTGAGTGCTGTGGTGGCTTCATGATCTCCACATGTGACAAAATGACGTAGAGCCGTATGCATACCCTGTGCCAATGTGGGTTTCCTGGTCTGGTATTGTACTAGAGTTATGTAAGATAGAACCACTGGGAGAAACCCAGTGCAGGGTACACGGCACCTCTCTGTACTATTTTTGCAAGTTCCTGTGAATCTGTAATAATTTCAAAACAAAAAGTTACAAAGAAGAAGTTCTTTGTAGGCGTACCACCCAGCAGCTCTTGGACCCCAAAAGGCAAATCATGGGCATTGAAATCAGATGGACCAGAGCTCAAATCTCAGCATGGCTGTTCACCTGCTAAGTGGCCTTGGGTCAGTCACGTCTCTTCTCCTACCCTCAGCGTTCTCATCCGTGGAGTGGGGCTCACTGGGGCTTATGGGCCCGCCCCATGGGGTGGTGATGACAGAGGATACAGTCAAGACCGTGCTCTGTCTCGCTCAGGACCTGGCTGTGGGAGGCGATAAGCTTCAGCAGCAGGCCATCAATACAGGGCTTGGCAGGGGGCCTTGCGCGGACCTGGCAAGGTCTTGGGTTCTGAGCCAGCTTCCCTGGGCTTGAGTCCTGGCTCTGCTGCTCCCTGCCTGGGTGACCTAGGGTAGACTACTTGACCTCTCCGGCCCTCAGTGTTTCCATCTGTACAATGGAGATAATCATAGTGCTGATCATGTATGTGACTTTTGAGGATTATTTTTTGTAGAGACAGGTTCTCCCTAGGTTGCCCTATGTGGCTGATCTTGAACTCCTGGCCTCAGGCGAGCCTCCCACCTCGGCCTCCCCAAGCTCTGGGATTCCGGGTGTGAGCCACGTAGCCTGGTCTGCTTTTGAGGATTAAATGAGATAGTGCACCTGAGGCCCCTAGGGCAGAACCTGACACTTGGCAGGGACAGTAGCCCTTTGGGGTGTGGAGAATGGCCCCATGGGTGGGGGTGGGAGGACCCTGGCCATGCAGTGAGGTCTGTTGCAGCATTGCCAGGAAAGCTCTCACTTCCTGGGGATCAGCACCCCCAGGAGCTTCCCCTTCAAGGTCCCGCAGCCAGTGATGAATTCCACTCCGGCCAAGCAGAAAATCTGATCCCAGGCACCTAAGGAGGCAGAGGGACCCCTGTCCAGAGAACCCAGGCTCCCGCCTTCCTTCTCCTGTCCTCCCTGAGGAGGGAGAGCACAAACCTGAAGTGGAATATGCACGGATTGGACTTCGAGGTACAGCCTCTGAGAAGAAAGGAAAGGACTTAGTGTTTGTGGTCAGTGAAAGAAATTCTGGGGACAGTGGGGGCTCAGTGGTTGCTTGAGGGAGGCTGGAGATGTTCCTCTGTCTCCAAACGTGTATTTCATGATCTGTCATGGTTTTAGGATCCCTAGAATTCCATTATTGCTGAGCTCATCCCTAGGTTAAACACTGCCCACTCCTGCATTCTGTTCTTTTCAAACTAGAGGAGTAACATATTAAGCCATGAATGTGTGAACTAATTTATGACAGGGTCTGGGGTGAGGCATGCTCAAAGCAGACCGAGGAAGGGCAGGAGAGGCCCAGGAAGGGGTAGGGGGAGGGTTGGGAGGTAGGGAATGATGCCTAAGGCAAACTTTGCCTGCTCTGGCTGGCTCTTGGTGATAATCTATTTAAAGGCCTCCCCTGGCTGTTCTCGTTGATGTAGATCCATTTGAGCAGTTTCAGGGCTGCAGTCTTTATTTAATGCAGCTCCGAGCCTGATGCACAGGGCCCAGAGCTGAGCGGAGGCTGGCTCCTGGCAATGCTTAATAGCAAGGTGAGAACACGGAGCTCCTGAGTAGGGGAGGGGCGATGTCAGGCAGCAAGGGCTAGGCCGGCTGTGCTCCACAACCTGCTCCTTGCTGCTGCTGGGAGGATGGAGCAGGCTGGAGGTGGAAATTCCCATCCCGGAGTCAGCACTTAGGAGAAGGGAATCTCAATGTCAAATGAGCTGGTGATTTGGTGGGATGGGAGAGGCTTTGTTGAATAGTGGCTGAGGATAAGCCAGCATGGCTTCGGCAAACAAGAAATATGTTAGCTCATGGAGCCGTCCAGCTTCAGGTACGGCTGAATCCAGGACTCCCTGTGAGAACATCTAACAGTTCCTGAGACCACATGCTTCCTGTGGAACACACTGGGGGAGCATGTCTGGGGCCAGGCATTCCCTGCAAAAGTCCCAAGGTCCTTTCTGATTGGTCTGGCTTGGGTCACATGCCCCTTCCCTAAACCAAACACTGTGGCCAGGAGGATGGGATACGCTGATTGTCTTGGCCCACTCCAAAGGACCAAGTGAAGTGGGGAGGGGGGTCAGTTCCATCCAAGCCTCACAGAGGACAGGAGGCCCCGGAGCAGGACCGGCCTAGGAAGCAAGCAGATGCTGGCTCACGGCAACGCCGAGCCTGTGTCCACACACCTCGTCCAATGTACCCCTCTCAGCTGCCTCTGCAGATACTTCTTCAGATGAGAGCACTGAGGTAGAGGGACTTGCCCAGCACCCAGAGGGGGAGTCCAGCTAAAACAGAATCCAGATAAAAGACTCTATTTTATTCTAAGTTCTTTCCAGCGCCTCCTGGTCCAGCTGGCGCCGATCCCCTGTCCCACGTTCCCTGCCCCTGATATTCCAGAGTACTTGGACTCCTAGGTTTGGGACCTGAAAAGGATCTTAGAGTTTGTTGTCTCCAGTCTCTTCGAGTAATGCACCCAGGGCCACACAGCCCACGAATAGCAGAACGGGGACTAGAATCCACATCTAATAGGACAGCTTGTCACTTACCTTGTGTCTGCCTCACTGCTTGGGAGTCTGGTCTTAACGGTGTGGCCCTGGTCTCCATCTGCTTGCCAGCCTTAGTTTCCCACCTCCCCATGGTGAGGGTGTGAGGGTATCCCCGAGGGCCCCCTAGAGCTCCCCAGGCTCAGCCCCTGAATGATGGTCTGCGCTTTCCTGGGTCTCCACGCCGCCGCGGTTTGCATGTCTTACTCCTCCTTGACATCATTTTCTTTCTAGATAATTGCTTTGTTCTAATTCTTTAGAGGCAATTTTCTTCTGTTACTTTATTTCTACAGTTAACACCCTCCAATTAATTTCATAGCTCTTGAAAGTTCTCACATAAGTTGCCCTCACAAACCCTTCCAGTTTAACCGTCGCGTGCAACAGCAGCATCTCCGACAACACAGTCATCTATTCACGCCTACTGCATCCGAGCACACCAGCTGCATTTGATCTTCATAATAACCTTAGGAGAGTAGCCTCCTTTTACAGAGAGGGAAAATTCAGACTCAAAGAGGTAAAGCAGTCTGCTCCAGGACTGTAGTACAGGCGGAGCTGGGATTTGAACCTCCACCTCCAGCTGCTGGCCTGAATCAACAGCAGCTCCAGATCAGGGGGAGGGCATGGTGGCTGTCAGCTTCCAGGTGCACATCTGTCCTACTGGGGTGGCCCCAGAGTGAACTTGGTGGCCCTGCTGGCTCTACCCCTGGCGATTCCCTGCAACCTGCCCCTGGATCCTATACAGAGAAGCTTCCCTGGCAGGCAGGAGGAAATGAAATCCAGGCGAAACACAGGGTCTCAGCCTCCGTGCATGGATAGGGAAAAGTCAGTAGTGGTTACAGCATCTCTAGAGGAGAGGAGGAAAAAAAAACCTAACACCAACTACATTTGCAGAGAAATAATAAATGATTTCAAATTCTATTTTCCTATCTCTCTCAGTACATCTCCCAGTGCTATTTTATCTAGTAAATAGGAGGCCTAGTTGTTATTCTCAATTATGATATTAATTCTCCCGGTGACCCTGGGCAACTTACCTCCCTTCTCTGAGCTGGTTTCTCTATCTATCACCACCCGCTCAAGGACAAAAAGATGTTCTCACAGGAAGGAAGCTCCCTGTGTCTGGAACAGGCCTGGGCCCTCATTTACCCAGCAGGTGCTGCTGGTGTGGGCGGGGGTGGCCTGCAAGGCGCGGACGGACCGCAGTCCCCGGTGCCTGCTCTCAACCTCTCTCTCCTTTTTCCTAACCACAGACCTGACCCTCCTGACCGTGTTCGCGCTTGTTAGTTCGCACAGATCCTTCTGCCAACCTCCCTGTCCTGTTAGATTCTGGAATTTTCCCCTGCCCCTTCCTCCCAGAGTTGGGGGAAGGGTAGCAGCAAACCCCAGCTGGGCGACAACTTCCGCCGCCACGTGCTTGGTTCGATACTGTTTTCCTGGTTTTCCAGCCATCTCCCTCCTCTGGAGGGGAGGTTGCCACGGGCGATCGGCCCAGCCTGTGTTTACCTCGGCACTCTGCGCCTCCTCTCCTGCATCCCGCAGGGGCTCCCCAGCCATCTGGAATGGGGCCCACAGCTCCCCTCTCCCCCACATGCCAGCCGAGAAGGCCAGTTTGAGCACCGCGTGGGAGGCCCGAGCTTCCCGCCAACATGGCAACTGAATTTGGAAAACAGCTCATCACCAATGAAGAAAAAAACAAAAAACAAAAAACAAATAATGAACTGCAGAGACCCCAGGCTGGGGTTCGGCAAACACCGATGGAAACAAGTCCCCTATGAAAAAGTCTAATGATTTTTGCTCTTGTTCAGAACTGAAGACTAATTCTAAAATATTGGTTGTCAGGAAAGAAAGGTTCTGGGTGGGGCCGCAAGCTAGTTCCAGCCCGCAGGAGACCCAGGGCTTTGCAGCCCGGGAGACTCTGAGCGCTCACACGTACAAAGCGTAGCCGGAGGACCCTGGATAGACAGTGCTGCGAGGCAGGCAGGATGCATGGACCTTGGTTGCTGCTTTTAATGGAGAAGGAAGCTCAGGCTCAGGGACATGATCATTTCTCGGCTGATCTGGGTCCTCATCTGTGATAGTCTGAGGGCCCCATCGTAGCTTAGGGAGGACTTCAGGTCATATTTGTACCAAATCCTCTCCTGAACCCTAGGGCGACAGTTAAAATATTTAACAACCCAAGGTGCCAGGGCGCCGAGCCAGCGGGGCTGTGGCCAGACCAGCCACTGGATAGGGCAGGTCCTGGAGGCCCTGGAGGCTGGGGGTAGGGGCGGAGTGGCCAGGACAGAGGAGCAGAGGCCTCTGGGGCCAGAGGCGGCAGCTACTCACTACCTGGGATGGAAGCGATTGAATATTTTAGCAGCTGGCTTGACCCGCCAAGTGCCCCGGGTGGCTGTCAGCGCTGCTCCACCCAGCACCTGGCTATGACCCAGCACGCATCTTCCATAGCAGCGAAGTCAAACCTGCCTCGCTGTGTGGCTTCTGGGCCTCATTTCCACAGGCCTGGGGGGCCCCGGGGAAGGCGGGATGAGAGGCTCTGCGGTCATCTTCCGGTGCCCTGTGCAGTAAGAGGACCCTTGTCCAGTGCTTGGCCTAGAGCCTGGCATGAGGCTACTGCTCAAGAGGGCTCACTGCACTTAAAATTTCCAAACCTGCGCTTCTGCCTGCCCCTGCCCCTCTCGAGTGAGAAACATGACCATCAGGTAAACAGGCAAGCATCTGCACATCCAGGGAGAGCACAGCGGCTGTGGCCACCACTGCCCCCCAGCCCACGCCTCATTTCAGGAGCAGTCTTGCAGCCAGCTGATGAAGCCCCGCACACAGGACAGAGTCCTTTCTTGGGACTACGTCTTGTGTGAGAAGGCAAAGATGCCTTCACAACCTGGCTCATTCACCTGCTGAGCCCCCACCCCCCGCAGCTAGGATCTGGGGTCCTGGCCAGACCTCACACCCACCTAGGATGAGACAGGGTGTGGCAAAAGAAGGGACCCAGGCTTTTTGAAGGAAGCCCTTCCGTAGCAGAACCCTGAGCGGCATTGGGGTATCCTGAGGAGCCGCCTGCAAGAAGCATTCTCCTTTGAACTCGAGTCGTCTCCACCTGCGCTTTTCAGAGCCAGCCCTGTTCCTCTGCAGGAGGCTTGCTCCTCACCCCGTCGTGGGTCACTGCTGATGGGGACTGCATCGACTTCTGAGTGGTCCCAGCCAGGCACAGGGAAAACAGGGAAGAACTTGACCAGATGTCTTTTCTTCCTCCCATCCACCAGGAAGCTCTGCAGAGGACTTTCAAATTCCATGGGCTGACAGCAGCCAGGCCTCCCAGCATGGATGAGCCCCGGGGCCTCACAGAAGACTGGGAGGGAAGTGGGCTGGAGATCGGGGGCAGAGGAGGGAATGGTGATCTTGGAGGGAACATTACAGAGGTGGCTTCTCTGGTCTCTGGCCAGGACAACCACCTCCTCTCCCGGCTGCAACCAAAGAGTGGGTGGCCCTGCAGCACAGCACCTGCATCAGAGGCACCTAGGCATATGCTTGTTAAACATACAGACTCCAGGCGCCGCATCTGTCCTGCCAAGCGAGCATCGCTGGGGCAGGGCCATGAAAATGACCTTTCGAAAAATGACTGCAGTGATCGATGCTCTTGCTTCGAAACATTTGAGAACAACTCCCTTAGACTGAGATGTAATGCTTCTTGGGCTGGAATTCCCCTTCACTTCCTCCTCCCCTACCCCAGACTGTCTGGGCTTGAGTCCCATTCTGCCACTTAAAGCTGTGGGAGTTTGAGTGTTTCCCATCCGTGCCTCAGCTGCCTCATCTGTGAAATGGGAGAGAAGTAGAACCCACCTCCCCTTTGAGCCCTGCTTCCAAGGGGGCAGAAGGCACCTTGCCTTATGCCTCCCTGAGAGCAGCTCTGATAGAAGCTGTTACAGAAGGGAACCTGTCCCTGCCTCACCCTGGTGCATGGGGTCATCAGGCACCAGGTGGTGGCATTGGTTGGGGTGAGAAAGGCTCTGCACCCCTAACACAAGGGCTCTAGACCTGGCTTCACCCCGTCACACCTGTATGATCCATTCTCAGTGCTGGGACACAGCTCTTCCAGACAAGCAAGGCCCCTGTTTTCAAGGTGTCAGGACGCAGACAACAAACTCACAAACAAACCAATGAAACAAACAGTGATAACTGTTGCGAAGGCAATTGAAAGACCCCAATGCCAAGTTACTGGCATGGTGCAAATAGTGGCAGAGTGTCCTGGGCAGAGAGAACAGCAAGTGCAAAGGTCCTGGGGCAGGAATGGATGCAGAGTGCTAAGGGGACAGAAAGAAGGCTGCTGTGCTGGAGCATCCCCAGGGAGGAGCAGTGGGGGTGAGGGAGGGGGTGAGTTCAGAGAGGCAGCCTGGCAGATCTTGCAGGGCCTATGGAGCTTATTCTGTTTGATGGGCAGCTTCTCCCAGCTGGGAGAATTAAATGGAGTAAATGAAGCACAGTGCTAGTACCAGGGTTAGTGCTAGGTGACTGCTCTCTGTGTCCTCACACCATGACAGACGCACCATGGCTGAGACATTAGGGTTACATGGTGACTTGGAGCCTCAGGTCCTGTAAGGAACTGTCTGGATGCAACTTCAGATCGTTGGGTGTGATCCATTCAAAGACGTCAGGAGGTGTTTATTCAGATCACTGGCTTCTACCTGCACCGTCCCCCCACCCCGCCCCCAACCCCACCATCCCCCAACACTGGGCCACGGTAAAGCGGTTCATCTGTTTCCTCAAACCTGAAACACAGCCGGGCTTTTCAGGGCTCTAAGGCCCCCGAATGTGGTGGGTGCCCCGGAGAAGGACAGGGCAGGGACGTGTGGGGATCTGGCCCTCTCCCGCTTGCAGGTGTGGCTGGCGTACGCGTTGGGAGCGCCTGCTTGCCCCTCCTCCGGGGGGGAAGGACTGGCCGTCGTCCCTGCCCCGGGGGTGCGGGTGCGCCGAGCCCTCGGGAGGCCTGGCTCTGGTGTGGGCTGCGGGGAGAAGGCGCGGGAAGGAAGGAAGGAGGCGAAGCGGTGCGGGAGGGAGGCGGCCGTTGCCATGGAAGGAGCTGCAAGGTACTCTGGGACCAGAATTCTCTCTGCAGAGGGTCGGGTGGGGGGCGGCCGGCTGGGGAAGGTGAGGGGAAATCCAGTGCCATTCCTTTGTCCTTGGCGCTTCTCAGCCTCCCTGCAGACCGCGAGCGGAGCCCCCGCACCCCCGGGGCTGGCCCCTGGCCTCCCGCCCCAGCCCGGCCGGCGGCCCCTCCCTGCTCCGCTGTCCGCCTTGGGTACAGAAGCGGCGAGTGGCCCCTTTCCAGGAGGCCTGTTTACCAGCACGACAACGGCAAATTAGTGCGCTTAAGAGGCATTCGGCGTTTATCCCGGCAAACATGCGCAGCGTGAAGGGGGCCTGCGAGGCCTGCTCCCCGGAATCTGCTGAAATGGGGTCTGCTGTGCATCTTAATCGACTTACTTCCACCCATCACATTAAACGCATTTAATCTACTCTTGCAAATGGCTAATTTTGAAAATCCGCTTATCAGAATTAGGTCCTCAACATCCATATTTATTTACTTTCCATTTTCATAATCTTTTTTTTTTTTTTTTCCCCTTGTGTGGGACTGAATTCCATTTACTATTGTCTGGCTCGCTCTCGCCCGTCCCGGGGGGCCGGGGCAGGGGACAAGGGCCAGGTTAGGAGCAAACTGGAAATGGAAACCTGGCAGGGATGAAAGGCATGGGCTCGGGATTTGAGGACTGGGAGGCTCTTCCCGGGTGGCAGCATCTTCAGGAAATCACCAAGAGCTGAGGCTTGAGCAGAGCAGGTTTAAAAAGGCGATGAGGAAGTCTTGCTGAATCGCAGGCGCCCGGGGCCTGCCTGGCAGGAATCAGCAGCCGTGTCAGAAATGTGCAAGAAAGTGGTTGGGATCAACTGTCTTCCCCAGCGCCCCCGGTGCCAGGCTCCGTGCTAAGCGCTTCACGTGGACCAGCACTCATGCTCACGCCAGCCCTGCTCAGTGAATGCCAGGCGCGTCTCGCAGACAAGAAGACTCCTGCTGTGGCTTAGACCCACATTTACATCCAGACTGCACGTCCTCCTCTGCAGCATGTTGTCAGGTGTGCAAGGCACGTTTTTCCTATGAGTGTGTAAGAAACACAAGTTTGTGTGTGCAGGACTCAGGCCTGTGAGAAACGCAGACTCAAGGGAGAGATGGGTGTTCAGAATCTGGAAGATGGCTCTCCAGGTCACAACCTGTGCAGCCTCAAGCGTGGATTCCGCATGTGGCTTTCCTCACCACGTTTGGGCTCTGCAAGTTTGCTAAGAGTCGCTACAGAGCTAGGAAGAGCCGCCAGGCCTCTTGGCCTCTAAAGGACTTAGCACTCAATGTTAATTTTGTTGTTGCCAGTCCCCTAATGAGCTGATTTGGCACACATCTAGAGCAAAAACCTGAATTTCACTTCGTTTAATTTACTTTCAACATTGGCTGGGCACCTCCTATTGGCCAAGTGATGTTCTGCAGAATACCTGGGTGGAAGGATAAATCCGATCTGTTTCGAGCCTTGGGAAGCTCACATTTACTGGATTTTACAAGAAAGGCTCAGAACAACAAAGTGTTAACAGATGCATACCAGACAATTTTATTCTCCCAAAGAACTGCTAAGTTATGTTGTAGCCATCTTAGATTTCCAGATCTAATGGGAATTCTAAAGCATAAGGCATTAATTACATCTTGGTGGTTGAGATTAGGGCTGAATTGTCTGCAGACTTGAACTCAAACCTGCAGTTCTGCCGCCTTCACTGTATGACCTTGGGCACATTGGACCCTCAATATCCTCATCTGTGTAATGGGGGTTATATAAATATCTACCCATAGGGCTCCGAAGATCTAAATTAATGCTGTAGGTGGAGCTTTTAGTGAGGTATCTGACAAAGGCCTACACCTAACAACCAAATAGTAAGCATTATGATACATAATCATTTACTGAATCAAACTCAGCAAATAGAATTCAAAGACAGAAATAAACATTGATCAAGTGTTTTTCATTGTTCCGAGTATGTTGGTGAGCCACCTGGAAAGCTAACGAAGCAGTCAGTGGGTCTTCAGGCCCTGCTGCCAGGTGCTGGCTGAATGGCAAGGTGGAACAATGATTTACTGGGACCCTTCCCTCGTTTCTCTGGCCCCCACCTTTTCCCCTTTCAACTTCCTGCCTCTCTCTAGAATTATACAATATGCCAAAGTAAATTCCCTCAGACTTGCAAATAGCCTATACTTAATCCCCCCCACCCCGCCCACCTGAGGATAAAAACTCCTTGCAGAAGGCAAAATTTCCTCCCATCCCGTGTTAGGGATGTGTGGGCGCATGTCTGCAGGAAGGGGAAGCCGTGGGAGTGTGTGTGTGTGTGTGTGTGTGTGTGTGTGTGTGTGTGTGTCGATGCAGGAAGGAAGCGGGCGGGTGTGTGCGCAGGGAGACACCTGTGGGTGTGAGCGTGGGGATTTGTGAATGAACGAGCCTGTGTGTGTGCGCGGGGACTGGGTGTGTGGAAGGGGCGGTGGCCCAGAGAAAACCCAGCTCCTCCAGCACTCACTCTGGATCAGGACCCCTTCCATCTGAGGGAGCCGAGTAACGTGGGTGGAGTGAGCCATTGGGACGGCTCACACTCTCTAAGGCGAGGTCAGAGAGAGAGACTGCAGGACCAAGGGCCCAGATGGGCAAGAGAGTGGAAGGTCAGCCACCAGGCCATGTGGGGTGTTCTGGGTGGATTTGAGTGTGTGTTTCCCAGGTGGTGGATGTGGACTGGCTTTGGAGATGGGCAAGCTGGTAGGTGAGGGGGCAGAGCTGAGTGGATACCAGAGAGGATGACCCACTCAGGGGATTCTGCCAGCCGTGTCTGGGGCTGCAGGCACAGTGGTTCCAACAGAGCAGCGGGAGTGGACAGCGGTCACAGAGGGAAGGGAAAACAGTCCCAGAGAGAGGGTGGACTCTGTTCTCAGACTGAGGAGGCCGGGAAGGGAAAGGCGGGGGCGGGGCGAGGGTCTGCAGCAACAGAGCCGGCAGGAATACCAGGTCATCACGGTATTGTTTGTTGATTTTGAAAGCTGAGTTGCATTTGAGAGATGAGGTTATGTGCCAGCGGAAAGAAGCAGCTCCCGTATTAGTAGAAGACACCAAAGCTGGAAAAGGAGGGTCTCCCAGTGAGAGCGGGAGGCCAGAACAGGAGGCTCTGCCTGAGACCCCCTGACTTTCGCATCTCCCTTGAGGAAGAGACTTCAGTTCTTGTCTCCCTGAGCACAGAAGTCTCCCAAGATGCAGCTTCTTGCTCTAAGGCTCTGGCTCAGGCAGAATGAAAACCTCCTTCTCTAGGTTCCTTTAGCAGAGTAGGGCCAAATTTTGTTATTTTTATTTTTATTTTATTTTACGTATGTATTTTTTTTTGAGACAGAGTCTTGCTCTGTCACCCAAGCTGGAGTGCAGCCGCCTGATCTTGGTGGATATGTGTGTCAGTGCAGGAAGGACGATTGCTCACTGTAATCTCTGCCTCCTGGGTTCAAGCGATTCTCCTGCCTCAACCTCCCGAGTAGCTGGGATTACAGGCATCCCACCTGTACAGCCACCACGCCCGGCTAATTTTTGTATTTTTAGTAGAGATGAGGTTTTGCCATGTTGGCCAGGCTAGTCTTGAACTCCTGACCTCAGGTGATCTGCCCGCCTCGGCTTCCCAAAGTGCTAGGATTACGGGCGTGAGCCACCGCACCCAGCCCCCAATTAAAACAAAAATTGTTTTGTGCACGTGCATGTGCACACACAGACACTCCTGCCTCTTGTTTGAGCCTTTGGGAGCCCTAAGAGCTTCTTTCTCTCATCCATTCTGCCCCATTGTATTTCTTGGCCAAGTCATTTTTGTTCTCGAATGACAGAAAACCCTTTCTAAATGGCTTATGCAAAAAAGGAAATGTGTTGGCTTGCGTAATTAAAAAGCCCCAGGGTGGTCTTCAGGCACAGCTGGATCCAGGACTCAAATGGGGTTTTCAGGACCCAGCTTCTCCCTCTCTTTGCTGCTGTTGGACCAGTTTCAATCTCAGGCTGGGTGTGGGGAACCTCAGAAGCTCTGCGCTCCTCGCTGTGGCAGCAAGATGGTTGCTATACCTCGCACTCCCCTCCTGTTGGGGCCAACTTTGAAAGGAAGAGCGGAGGCTGATGGAGAATGTCTTGGCTAGAACTGGACCAGGGACCCCTTTGCAGGCCAATCACTCTGCCAGGGGTATGGAATGGTGATCTTCTGGGGCCCCTGCCCACCCCCAGAGCCCAAAGTGGAATATGAGAGCGGGTGAAGGACAGTAGATGGCCAAACCCAGATGCCACTGCAGCCATGGAGGACACGCTCAGGACGCCAGGCACCCATGGGGCCACCACCCAGGGTGTGCAGCCTCTCTTGTCACACTCCTCTCCTTTCCCAGGCAGCTGGTGAGGCAGTGGGGCCTCTGACTGGGAACCCAGCTTGTTTGTTACAACTTACATGTGATGAAGGGAAAAAGGAAAAGTGAGAAGAAAATGCAAGAGGTGGGAAAGTGGTCCTGTGGGCAGCGGTGGCCATTTGTCATTTTCCGGCTGCTCAGAATCCACCCTTTTCATGGATATCACCCCAAATCTCCCTCTAGATCTGCATAACCCAGCCACCCACCTCCCAAGGCAGAAGTGAAAGCACCAGGCTCCCCCTGCTGCACCCCAGATGCAGCCAGGGTGGAGGTGTCCAGCCTGAGCTCTCCCATCTGATGCCTGCTCCTGGGACGCGGACTCTGGAGTGGGCATCTCAGGGCCCACAGGGACAGCAGGACGGCCTGCCCCACCTCTCCCCACCGTGGCCACAACAACGCCCAGACAGGGATGTTCTGGTTTCCTCTCACTCCCTGCCCATCTCCAGGCCTGGTTTCTCAGCTTCCTCCTGATTTAGGGAGGCCCCAACAAGCACCCAAGAGTGTCCTTTTCTTCCATTTGCCTCACAGAATCCTCTTGACATTCACAAAACTCAGGTTTCTGTCCAGCCAGGGCCAGCTCACTCCCAGGGCACCAGCCCTGTCCTCTCCAGGCCTGTCTAAGAGGAGGCTACACCCAGCCCCAGAGGTGAGAGCATTTCACCACCCCTTGCCCGGGCACTCCTGGCCCTCACGGGACCCCCGTGGAGGTGTCCGCTCTCAGACACTGTGACGCCCTCACGGCCAAGGTCAGAGAGCCTCTTTCAAGGACCTTCCCCTCTCTGGACCTTGCCGACAGTCCTAGTTTCTAGTGATAGGCTCGTTCCCGACTCATTGGTGGGACCCTGGCAAGGTGCTCGGTGAACGAGCTCACTCACGTTGACGTTTCAATCAGCATGTTTATCTCCCACCCACCCACCCCTGCACTAACCGAATTTTTTCTCCTGCCCCGAGGGTGTCTTTCCTCTTCCAGCCTCCACACCATGCATGACTCACTTGCTGCGGAGTCGGGCATTCAGGCTGCAGAGGCTCAGCGTCAAGGCTCCAAAGCCTCTGGAAGGAGATGCCAATGGATGTGGGGGGGCTCATGTTCACAGACAACACACCCAGCGGGGGCTGGGGGAGACGGCAGGTGGGAGGGCTGGGAAAGTCGTGTGCCCCATTTCACCCCACCACCCCCTTCCTTTTTTCTCTTCCAGGAGCACCACCAGGTGGTCATCTGGAAGCTGAGTCTCTCTGAGGGCCTCTGTAGTCACCAATGGTCACAAACGGCCAGCGGTCACTCATTTCCCATCAGCGTTCTGGATAGGAGTGATGCTGTCCAAGCCCCTGGAATCGTAGCATCACCTGACTCAGGCCATCCTCGGGGGTGGGACATGTAGAAGGTGACAGGGCATAAGGACAAGGAGAAAGCCTGGTCCTGCCCCAGGCTATGTGGGAACCGCTGTGAAATCGCCTACAGGACATTAGCACCTGGCCACAAAGCCAGAGTCAGCCCTACCCGTCTAGGGAAATGGTGGGCTCCCTTTGAGACCAACATCCATTTCCTGACTCTGGGGGTTACCCCGTAGATGATCCCGCAGGAGATGACAGTGCGCTCATGGTGTGGCTCAACAGATCCACATTCACCTTGCTCAAGGCCCCTGCCCCTGGAGTGAGACTGTGCCTGTTTATCAGTGGATGGGCGTGAGCTGCAGTGAGTGTGGGGGGCCAGGTTGCTCGCTGGAGGAGGGAAAGGTTCCGGAAAGGACAGCACAGACACTGAGCCCCTGTGGTCCGGGAAGCTTTTCCTAGAAACTCCCAGGCCAGTGGTGTTCAGCTCTGCCGCCCAAAGCATCTCAAAGATGTGCTGGAGTTTCCCAGAACGAGGTCAATTTGTCCACCAGACCAGAAGCTTCCTGTGTGTGCTTTATCTCACCACTGGCAGCCCAGGGCCCCGCAGAGAACTGCCACTCAGTAGGTCTTCGTTGGTATTTGCTGAAGAAACAAGTCTGCCCCTAAACAGAGAAGGTGGCAAGGTAGTTACTATCTGGCTTGGAGATTATGTATGAGTTGATTGGTCACGTCAAAAGTCAAAATTAAATCTATCCAGATGCCATAGTTAAAAGGGCCCAATGATGTATTGGTTGGGTGATTTCTTTTGTGAAAACAGCTCTAAAGCGTTATCCATTTTTCTCTCCAGAGCTCACTTTAAATGTGTTCCATTTTGGACTTTAGAATTTATTTTAGGGCTCCCACAGTATCTTTGCTCTCTGAGACTTGCAATGGCTCTGGGCTAAAAGCAATAGCCAACTTCAGAAGGGGAAGGAGAAAGGCTCTGCGTCGCAGATTGCAGCCTCCAAAAGGGGAAAATTTTCCAGAGACCTCCGGTGGTGGCTACGGCAAAGTTCTCTTCTGTCTGGGGGCCATCTCAGGCCCCCTTTCATCCAAGGAAGCAAACATTTCTGCACAAAAACAATCCTCAGCCACAAAGCCAGAGCTTTCTGAGCATGTGGATCAGTCGGAATGCTCCAGCAATAATGAGTAACTTTGAATAATGCTTGAGCAAAGTTTCCCAGCAGCTGAGCGGAGGCCGTGGGTTCGCCGGGAGCACTGCAGGCCCTTGGTCCTGTCCCCAGGGCTGCTCATGGAGGATGGAGGAGCATGCAAACAGCACTTTAAGTGATCATCGCTGATCCTTTCTGTTCCTCTGTATCAGAAAAAATACTCTAGCACAGCAAACCTGTGATTTCTCCAACATTCTTATTCAAGACAAGGAGAAACTAGGTATTTAAATGAACTGAAACAAATAAGTAAATAATACCGCGTGTGGTACAAGGGTATAGCGAAAATCATGAGTGTATCATGCAAATGACTAAAGTTTGGGAGATGTGGCTTTTTGTCACATAGCCGTGGTCCTCAGCATGAAAGCACACACACTCTGAGCTCCCTGCTCCTGCCTTCTGTGATCAATGTTTCTAAAGCCCGTGGGCAGCCAGAAATCAGAGTACAATAAATATGTGCAATGGAATGTGGAGGGAGAGTGCAATGAGGATGTTTTTTGGTCTCAATAACAATTTTTTCTTTGGTCTCACCTACAAAGTAGAAGGTCACTAATCCATGAATTGCAGATCAAAAGGAAACTTTGAGACCATGTGGTGAATCAAGCATTCTCACCCTATTTCACAGACGAGGAGACTGAGTCTCAGAGGAGAAGGGGACTTGCCTAAGATTATACAGCAAGTGAGAACTGGCCCTAGAAAGCAATTTTTAGATCAAAAACAACAGCCTAAATTCCTGGACGTATAACACATGCCTACAAATCAATAAGAAAGAACCAGTCGAAAAACGGGGTAAGGATTTCAGAGAAAATACAAACATCATTTAAACATCAGAAAAGATGCTCAACTCCGGGCATAATAGACACACACGTTAAAATTATACTGACACATCTGCTTCTAGCTATGATGGACTAGCCTGCATCAGACCAATCACCCTGCTGGGAGCAATTCGGAAGGCTGGATGAAATACTACAGAAACAGCTGTTTGAAGATACTGGAGAGGCACCAAGGGTCCCAGATCCCAGATCCCAGAGAGGAGGGAAGCTCACAGAGGGGAGCCTGCTGTTCGGCAGAGCTCTGTCCCCTGCAGTGTTTGCCACTTCTGAGCAGTGCCTGAGAGGCTGAGAAGCACGTTAGCCATCTCATGGGGCTGGGGAGACAAAAACTGGAATCCAGGGCCTCTTGAGAAATAAGGACCCTATCTATATCCCCATATTCAGAACAGCACGACAAAATAGCTTAAAGGCAGAAGCAACTCAAGCGCCCATCGACAGATGAAAAAGGATAAACAAAATGTGGCATATACACTCAAGGGAACATTACTCAGCTTTAAAAAGGAAGGAAGTTCTGACACACGGTACGATGTGGATGAACCTAGACAACGTTACGCTAAGTGAAGTCAGCCAGTTGCATGAAGACAAATACTGCATGATTCCACTTACGTGAGATATTCAGAGTAATCACCTTCATAGAGACAGAAAGTGGAATGGTAGTTGCCAGGGGCTTGAAGGAGGTGGAATTAGGAGTTAGTGTTTAATAGATGTGGCGTTTCACTTGGGGATGATGGAAAGAGTTCTGGAGATGGATGGTGCTGATGGCTGCACAACAATGGGAAGGTACTTAATGCACTGACATACACACTTAAACAGGGTTAAGATGGTAAATCTTATGTTCTGTGTATTTCAGAACAATTTTTCTAAAAGCAAGAACGTTGGTAAATAGCCTAGGCTTTCATCCGGGATCCCAAAGCACTATACCCTAGAAGTAAGTTAGCCAGAACGAAACCGGCCCTTTCAGGGACTGCAGGCCTGTTTCAAATCATCTTAATTCCTGGTTGGATAAATGCAATTTAAGATTGATGCTGCCCCTGGCTTAGCAGAAGTTAAAGTAAATCCTCCCTGGAGGAGGATAACAGCATCCAGAGCCTCAAATTACCTTTTCCATGTTCATTTATTATGTCTGATATTCAGTGAAAAACAGAAATGCAGAAATACAAGAACGGGATGAAAACCAAGAGAAAAATAACACATTACAAACATATCCACGTGGTCTCAGATATTCGAGGTACCATAGTTGGCCTTTGAAATAACTGTAATTAGTATATTCAAGAAGCTAGATAACAAGAACGGGAATTTCAGCAGAGAACTAGAAACTATTAGAAAAAAGAATCAAATGGAAATTCTAAAAATAAAAAAGGGGGTGATAAATTTGACAGAAGATGTGTAAGATCTGCACATATAAAACTCAAAACATTGCTGAGAGAAATTAAAGGAAATATAAATACAGAAATACATTGCGTTCATGGATTGGAAGATTCAATGTGGTTAAGATGTTGATTCTCCCAAACTCATCTATAAAAACAATTTTTTTTTTTTTTGGTGGAGATTGACAAGCTCATTCTAAAATCTCTATGGAATGATCTAGAATAACCAAACATTTTGAAAAAGAAGAATAAGATGGGGAATTTACACTACCTTATTTCGAGACATTATTAAAGCTACAATAGTCAAGACAGTGTGGTATTGGTATAAAGATAGACATCTAGATCAATGGAACAGAAGAATGATTCAAGAAACAGACCACAGCTGTTGATTTTTGAAAAAGATACCAAGGCAATTAATGAATAAAGGATATTCTTTTCAACAACTGATGCTAGAACACTTGGATAAACATATGTAAAAAGATAAAAATAAAATTTAAAAGAAACCTTGACCTTATCTCACACCGTATACAAACTGAAATGGTCTATGATCCTTGAAATTAGGGTCTATGATCCTCATAAAGTAGGCCTAAAAAATTAGATGTATGGTCCTTGAAATGGATCATAGACCAAAATGTAAAAGCAAAGCTATAAAACTTCTAGAAGAAAATCTTAGCAATCTTGGGTTTGGTAAAGTTTTCTTAAATATGACAAAAACAATGACATATACAAGAAAAATAATAAAATGGACTTCACTAAGCTTAAAATATTTAGTCTTTAAAAGACACTATTCTGTTTGGCAGTTTCTTAAATATATACTTGCCATATGACTTAGCAATTCTTCTAGAAGAAAAGATGTGTTCACACAAAGACTTGCATGTGATTGCTAATGACAACTTTAATTATAATAGGCAAAAACTGGAAACAATTCAAATGTCCATCAAATGGTAAATTCATAAGCAAAGTATGGTATATTCACATAATGGAATACTACTCAGCAATGAAATGAGTTATTGATAGATGCAACAAGATATAGATGAATCTCAAAAACATTATGCTAAGTGAGAGAAGCCAGACACAAAAGGATATATGTGTATATATTTTTAGAGACAAGGTCTCACTCTGTTGCCCAGGCTGAAGTGCAGTAGCTCACGATAACCTTGAACACCTGTGCTTAAGTGATCCTCCCACCTCGGCTTCCCGAATAGCTGGGACTACAGGCGTCCTCCACCATGCCTGGCTAGTTTTTCAAATTTTTTGTAAAGACAAAGTCTCACTATGTTGCCCAGGCCCAAACTCCTGCCTCAAGCGATCCTCTTGCCTTGGCCTCCTGAGTCACTGGGATTACAGGTGTGAGCCACCACACCCAGTCTGTATGTTTATATACATACATACATACATACGTATATATATATATGAAATTTCTAGAAAAGGCAAAACTATATATCTAATAAGCATATCAGTGAGTGTCTGAGGCCCATGATGAGAGTGAGGCATGACTATAAACAGGCACAGGGGAACTTTTGGGGGTAGGGAAAGTGTTCTAAAATGGTATTGTGGTGATAGGTGAACAATCAAATTATTTACTAAAAATCATTGACCTGCACACTTACAATGGACGAATTGTATAATGTGTAAATTAGACTTTAGTAAAGCTGTTAAAAGTGGGAGGAAAAGACAGTGATAAAAAATTAAAAGGCCAACCGCAAACCTGGGGAAAGTATTTGCAAAATATATATCTGACAAAGGACTTGTATCTAGAATAGATTGAAAACTATTACAGCTCAATAAGAAGACGATAAACAACCCAATTTGTTAAATGGGCAAAATATTTGTTCAGACATTTCACCATAGAAGTTAAATGGTTGTCAAACAAATGCAGGAAAGGACACCCAACAACATTCATCATCAGGGAAATGCCAATGAAAAAACCACAATGAGATTCTACCATCCAGCCACTAGAATGACTAATGTTAAAAACATTGATCACACCAAGTGTTGGTGAGGATGTGAAGCAACTAGAACTCTGACACAAAGATTCATCCATGAATGTTCATAATAATGTCATTGTTAGAGCCAACATCTGTAAAAATCCAGAGGCTCAACATCATCAGACAGTGATAAATGAATTGTAGCATGCCATGCAATAGAATACGACTCAGCAATAAAAAGGAAGGAACTGTTGATATAACAGCATGGGTGATGCATATTGATGCAACATATGGGTGAATCTCAAAATAATTATGCTGAGTTAAAAACAAGCCAGACCAAAAATAAATACCTACTGTATGATTCCATTTATATAAAATTCTAGAGAATGCAAATGAATGTATAGTGATAAAAAGTAGATCAGTTGTTGACTAGGGAGAGAGGACAGGGAGGGACAGATTAAGGACATGAGGAAACTTATTCATTATAGCAATGGTTTCACAGGTGAATGCATATGTCAAATCTGATCAAGGTGCATACTTTAAATATGTGCAGTTTTTGTCCCTCAATTATGATTTAATAAAACTGTTTAAAATGGGAAACATAATGTTAAACACAATAACTAAAAGTAAGAACTAAATAATGGGTTAAGAAACCACTGAAGTCACCTTGTAAGATCGATCAGAAAGAAATATCTTACATTGCATCAGAAGAAAATATAGAATGGAAAATACATACAAGAATAAGGAATAGGCCAGGCATGGTGGTTCAGGCCTGTAACCCCAATGCTTTGGGAGGCCCCAGTAGGAGGATTGCTTGAGGCAAGGAGTTCCAGACCAGCCTGGGCAACATAGTGAGACCTCATCTCCACAAAAAGTAAAAAAATTAGCCAGGTATGTGGTGTTGCGCACCTACAATCCCAGCTACTAGGAGGCTGTGGTGGGAGGATCCCTCAAGCCCAGAAGTTCTAGGCTGCATTGAGCTCTGATTGTGCCATTGCATTCCAGCCTAGGTGACAGAGTGACACCCTGTCCTCCCCCCCCCCAAAAAAAAAGAAAAGAAAGAAAAACAAAACAAAACAAAAAAAAAACAGAATAAGAACTATATGAGTCATGGTGAAAGGGCTAATATGACATGTAACTGGAATCCAGGAAGGGAAGGAAAGAGAAGACAGAAGAGGAAGAAAAGGCATAAATAATATTGGAAAAGACAATGGCTAAGAATTTTCTTAAAAGCATATATAAGATAACATGCACTGGGCGCGGTGGCTCACGCCTGTAATCCTAGCACTTTGGAAGGCCGAGGCGGGCAGATTGCCTGAGCTCAGGAGTTCAAGACCAGCCTAGGCAACATGGCGAAACACTGTCTCTACTAAAAAAAAAAAAAAAAAAAAAAATACAAAAAATTAGCCAGGTGTGGTGGCACACACCTGTAATACCAGCTACTCAGGAGGCTGAGGCAGAAGAATCACTTGAACTGGGGAGGTGGAGGTTGCAGTGAGCCAAGATCGTGCCACTACACTCCAGCCTGGGCAACAGAGCAAGACTCTGTCTCAAAAAAAAAATAATAATAATAATAATATGCCACAAATTCAAGCAGAGCTAGAAAACCACACCTAGACATACCAATTTAACACTACTGAAAATCAAGGACAAAGGGAAAATCTTAAAAGCAGCCAGAGATAAAATGCCAATTGCTTCCAAACGACAGCAATAAGACTGATAATTGATTTCTCAACAGAAGTAATGAGATCAAGAAGACATTGGACTGATAACTTGAAAACACTGGAAGAAAAGAACTTCCAACCTCAAATTCTACTGAAAATAGTCTTCAAATAATAAAGAGATATTTTCAGCTATCAAAAACTGAGATCATTTATTACTAACAGATGCATACTGAAGCCAGTACTAGCAGGGGTTTTTCAGGCAGAAAGAAAATGACCTCAGGTGGAAACATCAAGTTGCAAGAAGGAAAGACAAATAACAGAAAATGTTAATATAAGGGTAAATGAAATTATTATTGACTATATAAGACAATAAAAATGTATTTTAGGGTTTAAAATCAAATGAAAATACAAAATGACAACAGCATAAAAGGTGGGAGAGGAGTAAATAGAATTTAGTGTTATAAGGTTCTTATGACTCTGGGAGGGGATAAAATTATTAATTTACATTCAACTTGATTAAGTCAAAGATGAAATTTTAGACTAATTGTCAAAGCTAATAAGCTAATAGGCAAAGAAAATGGAATAAAATAAGTATTTGATTGATACAAAAGAAGGCAAGGGACAGATGGGACAAATAGAAAACCAATCATAAGGTGGTAGATTTAGATGCAAATGTAGAAGTAATTACACTAAATGTAAATGAACTGAGTATTCCAATTAGAGGACAGATATTGTTAGATTTGATTTTTTAAATTCTATATGTTATTTGCAGGAAATAAGCTTCCAATATAAAAAGGTGAACATAAAAAAAAATTTACAAAGAAACTACTAAAAACAGCAAAAAGTTGAGGTTGTTACATTATTATCAGATAAAGGGGGCTTCAAAGCAGAATATTTAGTTAGATATAATGAGAGACATTTCTTAATAATAAAGGTTAAATCCACTAGGAAAATAGAATAATTCTTTATATATTTTATATTTCTAATTACATAACCTCAACATATATAAATAACTGAATAGAACTAAATGGAGAAATAGAGGAATTCACAATCATCATCCAGGGATTTTAATATAGCCGTCTCAATAATGTTTAGGACAGACCAAAAAATCAGTGAGGATATAGAATATTTGAATAATATATATAACAAATTTGACCTAACTAACATATACAATACACTGAGCTCCACAACTTCTGATATACATTTTGTGTGAGTGTGTGCACATGGAACATTTATCAAAATGAACCATATCTTGGCCTTAAAGTAAGTCTCAACAAATTTCATAAGATTGAAATTCTTGACCATAGGAGTTAGGCTAAAAAACAATTTTTAAAAAACTTTTTAAAACCCAAATGTCTGGAAATTATAAAGTATCCTTCTAAATAGCCTCAGCTCAACATTAAAATAATCATGAAAATTGGAAAGCATTCCTCAAAGAGCTAAAAGCAGAGCTACCATTTGACCAGCAATCTTATTACTGGGTACACACATTGCAGCACTGTTCACAATAGTAAAGACATAGAATCAACATAAATGCCCATCAATGACAGATTGGATAAAGAAAATGTGGTACACATACACCATGGAATATTATGCAGCCATAAAAAAGAACAAGATCAGATCTTTTGCAGGAACATGGATGGAGCTGGAGGCTATCATCCTTAGCAAACTATACAGGAACAGAAAACCAAACACAGCATGTTCTCACTTATAAGTGGGAGCTAAATGATAAGAACTTATGAACACAAAGAAGGAAGCAACAGACACTGCAGTCTATTTGAGCAGGGAGGGTGGCAGGTGGAAGAGGAGCAGAAAAGATAACTATTGGGTACTAAGCTTAATAGTGGGGTGATGTAACAGTATGTACAACAAGCCCCTGTGACACATGTTTATCTATGTAACAAACCTTCACATGTACCCCCAAACCTAAAATAACAATTAAAAGGAAAGAAAAGAAAATTAGAAAGCATTTTAAGCAGAATGATAATGAAAACACAAGATATTAAAACCTGTGTAGGTACAGCTACAGTCATGCTTAGAGGTAGCATTTAAAAAGGAAGAAGACTGAAAATAAATAAGATGTAAAAAGAACAGCATATTTATCCTTTAAAGAAACTTAGAAGAAAAAAATAAGAGCAGAAATTAATAAAACAGGAAAGAAACAACAGAGAGGATCAGTTAAGTCAAATGTTTTCTTAAAGAGGAATAAAAGTGATAACTCCTAGAAGACTGATTATTTTTTTCTTTTTCTTTCTTTCGACTTTTTTTTTCTTTCTTTTTTTAGACAGGGTCTCTTGCAAAGACTCCAGGCTGGAGTGCAGTGGCACAATCATAGTTTACTGTAACCTTGACCTCCTGGGCTCAAGTAGCCCCCCTGCATAGCTGGGACTACAGGCCCACACCACTGCATGTGGCTAATTTTAAAATTTTTTATAGAGACAAGGTCTCGCTGTGTTGCCCAGTTTGGTCTCGAACTTCTGGCCTCAGGCAGTCTTCCTGCCTCAGCCTCCTAAATTGTTGGGATAACAGATGTGAGCCACCATGCCTGGCAAGACCGATTTTTAAGAGACAGCAAGATAAGGCACAACTAGCTAATATCAGAAATGAAAAGAGGAACATCATTAGAGATCCTACATATATTAAAAATAAGAGGATATTATGAATAACTGTATGCTAGAAAATTTGAAATTTTAGATAAAATAGAAGAATTGCTAAACACAACTTACCAAAACTGATAGAAGAAACAGAAAATCTGAAAATTCTTCTATCCATTAAATAAATTATATTTGTAGCTAAAACCCTTCCCACAAAGAAAACCCCTGCGCCAGTATGTCTTCATTGAATAATTCTTCCAAACATATAAGGAAGAAATATCACCAACCTTACATATAGTTCACCAGAGAATAGAAGAAAAGAAATAATTTCCAATTATTTTATATAAAGCCAGCATAGCCTTCATATTAAAACTTGATTATGAAAAGCATAAGAAAAGAAAATCTCTCTTATGAACACAGCAATCTCTTTCACAGACATATACTCCTGAATAAATTATTAGTGAACTGAATCCAGAAACACAGAACAATGCATCACCACCAACTTGAGTTTATTCAAGGAATGCAAGGCTGGCTTTAAAAAAAAAAGAAGGGTGTAATTTCCCACACTAACAGAATAAAGGCTAAAATTGTGTAATCATTTCAACAAATGCAGAAAAAGCAATTGATAAAAATCAACACCTATTTACAATTTTAAAAAGCTCTTAGCAAACTAGGAATCGACAGAAACGTATTTAATATGACAAAGGTTATGTATAAGACATGTATAGCATATATCATGTTTAATGATGGATATTAAAAGTTTTCTGCCTGCAATTATGGATGAGACGAGGTTGTCTACTTTCTCTGCTTCTTTTAAATTCTTACCCACTGTACTGGAGGTCCTGGTCAGTGCAATAAGGCAAGTAAACAAAATGGAAAGGAAAAAATAAATCTGTCATTATTCATAGATAACATGATTATGTATTCAGAAAATCCACAGGAAAATATCAGAATAAAACTTCTATGCTGAAATCTACTAAACATTATTGAGAGAAATTAAATTAAAGAAGACCTAAGTAAATGGAGGGATACAATGTTTGTAGCGTGAAAGACTCATTATTATAAAGATGTCGATTCCCCCAGAATTGACCTGCAGATTCCATGAAATCTCAATAAAAATCAACAGGGTGTGTGTGTGTGTGTGTGTGTAAATTGACAGGCTAATTTTAAACTTTATATAGAAACATAAAGCGTGGAAAATAGTCAAAACAATCTTGAAGACAAAACGAAGTGGGAGGACTTATACTATCAGATATCAAAACAGTATAAAACTACAATCATTAAAAAAAGTATAATATTGGCATAAGGGTAGACGATGGGCCAGAATAAAGTCCAGAAACAGATACACACATACAGGTGAGGATTTGAGTTTTTTACAAAGTTGATATGACAGAGTGGTGGGAAAGTTTGAGCTCATCCTTTAATAAATAATATATCTTCTTTTTTTTTTTTTTGAGATGGAGTCTCACTCTGTTGCCCAGGCTGGAGTGCAGTGGCACAATCTCAGCTCACTGCAAGCTCCGCCTCCCGGGTTCACGCCATTCTCCTGCCTCAGCCTCCCAAGTAGCTGGGACTACAGGCGCCTGCCACCACACCTGGTTAATTTTTGTATTTTTAGTAGAGACGGGGTTTCACCATGTTAGCCAGGATGGTCTTGATCTCCTGACCTTGTGAGCCGCCTGCCTCGGCTTCCCAAAGTAGTGCTGGGATTACAGGCATGAGCCACTGTGCCCGGCCAATAATAAAGATCTTCAATAAATGGTGCAGGGTCAGCTAGATATTCACATGGACAAAATCATTCTTAGCTCTTATTTTATACTATATGAAAAGTAAAATAATAAAGCTCCTAGAAAATAACATTGGAGAATATCTTTGTGAAATTGGTCAGGGCAAAGGCTTATTATATAGGATATAATGGCACTAGCATCAAGAAAAGTATTGATAAATTGGACTGCATTAAAATCAAGTACTTCTATCCATCAAAAGACATTATTCACACACAGCTGGGCACGGTGGCTCATGCTTGTAATCGCAGCACTTTGGGAGGCCAGGGAGGGTGGATCACTTGAGGTTAGGAGTTGGAGGCCAGCCTGGCCAACATGGTGAAACTCCGTCTCTACTGAAATACAAAAATTAGCCGAGTGTGATAGTGTGGTAATGTGAGACTCTGTCTCAAAAAAAAAAAAAAAAAAAAAGACACTATTAATACAATGAGAAGTCAAGCCCCAGAAAGTGAAAGATATCTTCTGTACATATCACTTACAAAGCAAGACAGAAAGTCTCACTCTGTCGCCCAGGCCGGAGTGCAATGGCACTATCTCAGCTCACTGCAACCTCCGCCTCCCAGGTTCAAGCCAGTCTCCTGTCTCAGCCTCCCGAGTAGCTGAGATTACAGGAGTGCACCACCATGCCTAGCTAATTTTTTGTGTTTTTAGTAGGGACAGGGTTTCACCATGCTGGCCAGAGTGGTCTCGAACTCCTTACCTCAAGTGATCCACCCTCCTTGGCCCCCTGAAGTGCTAGGATTACAGGTGTGAGCCACTGCGCCAGGTCGCTTACAAAAGACCTTTATCCAGTACATACAAAGAACTCCAACAAATCAATAAGTAAAGGAAGACTCAACAGAGAACTCAGTAAAAGATTTGAACAGGCATTTCATAAGAAAGACTCTCTACACACATATGAAAGGCCACTAACCTTTAGTCATCTGGGAAATGCAAATTAAAACCACCTTGAGATAACTACTCCGAAAGTTAAAAAGACTGGCATTTTCACATATGAAAGGGCGCTAACCTTCTTTAGTCATCTGGGAAATGCAAATTAAAACCATTTGAGATAACTACTCCAAAAGTTAAAAAGACTGTCATTTTCAAGTGTTCATGAGGATATAGATCTCGTGGAATTCTTATCACAGCAAAATTGTAAATCAAAAAACTACTTTGGAAAACTGTGTAGCATTATCTACTAAAGCAGAACATATGCATGTCCTATGGTCCAGCAATTCTACTTCTAGATGTTTCCCCAACAGTCATGAGTATATATTGGACCAAAAGACAAGTACAAGAAGGTTTACTGCATCACTATTTGCTCCAAACAGGAAACAACCCAAATGACCATCAATAGTAGGATGGATAAATAAATTGCAGCATAGTCCTTTAGTGGAATACTATGCGCCAATGAAAATGAATGAACTGCAACTACACAACAAGAATGAATCTCACAGATGTTACGTTGAATGAAAGATGCCTGGCACAAGGGTATGGGCTGTATGACTCCACTTATATAAAAGGCAAATGAGGCAAAACTAATCTATGGTGATAGGAGTCAGGTTGAATGTTACCTTGGGGAGGGAAGATAGTGACTGGAAGGGGGTGAGGAGGCTTCTGGACTCTCAGATAATGTTCTATATCGTGATCATGGTACTGTCTACCATATAAGTTCACTTTGTGAAAATTTATCAAAGTGTACACTTATTATTTGTGCCGTTTTCTGTAAGTATGTGAGACTTAGATAAAAAACTTTGTTCATAAAAAAATTATGCCAAGACACCAAAAACTGGCAAAGATTCAAGAGCTGGATGGCGCTGTGTGCTGGGGTGGGTGAACAGGTGCTGTCACACATTGCAAGCACACAACCCCTGCAGAGGGAGATTTGACAATCTACCAAGTTACAAATGCACATATCTTAAAAAACAAAAAAAAGTAATAGACTATTTTTTGAGAGCAGTTTTAGGTTCATGGCAAAAGTGAGCATCAAGTACAGAGAATCCCCACATGCCCCTCCCCCTAGCCTCCCCCAACACTACACATCCCCACCATGCACCTGTCCGTGAATCAGCGCTGACTCATCACTATCAACTAAAGCCCATCGTTTACATTAGGGCTCACTCTTTGAGTTGTAGAGTCTATGTTTTTTTTTTAATTAATAAACCTTTATTTAGAGCAGTTTTACGTTCACAGCAAAATGGAGCAGAAAGTACAGAGAGCTCCCATAGAGCGCCCTCTGGCCTGCCTCATCCGGTGACCACACAGCCTCCCCGACTACCAACATCCTGCATCAGGTGGTACATTTGCTGCAATCGATGGACCTCTGTTAACACATCGTTATCACCCAAAGTCCATAGTTTCTGTGAGAGCTCACTCTTGATGTTCTCCATTCTATGGGTTTGGACAAGTATAGAAGGACACATGTCTGCTACTATAGTACCATACACAACAGTTTCCCTGCCCTAAAATCCCCTGTGCTCCAATTCACACCTCCATTGTCTCAAACCCCTGGCAACCGCTGATCTTTTATTTTTATTTATTTATTTATTTATTTATTTATTTAGAGATGGGGTTTCACTCTTGTTGCCCAGGCTGGAGTGCAATGGCACGATCTCAGCTCACCACAACCTCCACTTCCCGGGTTCGAGCCATTCTCCTGCCTCACCCTCCCGAGTAGCTGGGATTACAGACATGCACCACCACGCCCAACTAATTTTTGTATTTTTAGTAGAGACGGGGTTTCTCCATGTTGGTCAGGCTGGTCTCGAACTCCCGACCTCAGATGATCCACCCGCCTTGGCCTCCCAAAGTGCTGGGATTACAGGCATGAGCCACCATGCCCGGCCGATCTTTTAATTGTGGTAAAATTAAAAGATTTTAATTTTTAAAGTTTTAAATTTAAAGTCTTAATACAATTTACATCTTCACCGTTTTTAAGTGTATCATTCAATGGCATTCAGGGCATTCACACTGTCGTGCAATCATTATCACCATCCATTTCTAGAACTCTTCATCTGGCAAGTCTGAAACTCTATACCCATTAAATAACAACTTCCATTATACCTTCCCCCCAGCCCCTGGCAACCATGATTCTACTGTCTCTGTGAGTTGGACTGAGTTGGACTGCTCTAGATAACTCATGTAAGTGGAATCATACAGTATTTGTCCTTTTGTGCCTGACTTATTTCACTCACAAATTATCCTCAAGATTCATCCATATTGTTGCACATGTCAGAATTTTATGGCTGAGTATTATTCCATGCATGTATAGACCACATTTGTGTCTATTGATGGACACTTGGGTTGCTTCCACTCTTTGGCTATTGTGAATAATACTGCTATGAACTCAAGTGTGCAAATATCTCAAGTCCCTGCTTGAACATGAGTGTGCAAATATCTCAAGTCCCTGCTTTCATTACTTTTGGGCAAATACCCATATGGTAATTCTACTTGTAATTTTCTGAGGAATCACTATAATGTACTCCATAGCAGCTGCACCTTTTTACATTCCCACCAACAGTGCACAAGAGTTTCAATGTCTCCACATCCTCATCAACATTTGCTATTTTCTGAGGTTTTTTTAAAGCCTTATTTTCTAAAAAGCAGTTTCAGGTTTACAACAAAATTGAGAGAAAGTTACAGAACTGTCCCATATACCCCCTGCCCATACACATGCACTGCCTCCCCCATTATCAACGTCCCCCACCAGACTGGTGCATTTGTTATAAATGATGAACCTACACATGGTAAAACACTGTAATCACTAAAGTCCAGAGTTGACATTAGAGTTCACTCTTGGTGTTGTACATTCTGTGGGTTTGAATGAATGTATAATGCCATGTGTCCACCATTATAGTTTGATACAGAGTAGTTTCACTGTCCTAAAAGTCCTTTGCGCTCCACTCATTCATCCCTCCTTCCCCCCAACCCCTGGCAACCACTGATCATTTTATTGTCTCCATAGCATTGAGTTTTCCCAAAGTCATCTGGTTGGAACTCAGATTGGCTTCTTTCACTTAGCAGCAGACGTTCCAGATTCCTTCATGTTTTTTAGTGGCTTAATAGCTCATTTCTTTCAGTGCTAAATAATATTCCCTTGTTTAGGTAATTTATCCATTCATTTACTGAAGGGTATCAATACACGGATGCTGCCGAGTCTTCACAATTATGAATAAAATTGCTATACCATTAATGTTTAAAGTGGTTATTGACATAGTGGGATTAATATCTACCATATTTGCTAATCTTCTATTCATTGCCCTTGTTCTCTGTTTCTATTTTTGTCTTCTACTATTTTTCTGTCTTTTGTGGTTTCAATTGAGCATTTGATATGATTCTATAATCTCTCCTTTCTTAGCACATCAATTATACTTAAAAAAATTTTTTTATTGGTTGCCCCAGAATTTGTGATATACACTTACAATGAATCCAAGTTCACTTTCAAATGACACTGTACTGATTCATGGGTAGTGCAAGTAACTTTATAGTAACAAAATATTCCTAATTCCTCCATCCTTCACTTCTGTCATTCAGCAATTTACTTTGCTTATCTACAAGCTATGGTCACCAAATATGTTGTTACTACTATTATCTTAAACTTTTATTCGTTAGATCAATTAAGAATTAAAAACAAAAGTGTTTACCTTAACTTATTCCTTCTCTAACACTCTTTTTTCTTTACATAAATCTGAGTTTCTGACCCATATCATTCTTCCTCTCTCTGAAGAGCTTCTTTTAACATTTCTTGCAAAGCAGGTTTAATAGTGATAAATGCCCTCAATTTTTGTTTGCCTGAGAAAGTCTACTTCTCCTTCACTTCTGAAGGATAACTTTGCTGAATACAGATTTGCAGGTTGGTAGGTTTTTTCTTTGAACACTTTACATATTTCACTCCACTCTCTTCTTGACTTCATAATTTCTGAAGACAAATCTGATGTAATTTTTATCCTTATCCTCTATAGGTAAGAGATTTTTCCCTCTGGCTTCTTTCAAGATTTTTTTCTTTGTTCCTGAATTTCTGCGATTTGAATATGATATGCCCAGATGTAACTATTTGGGCATTTATCCTGCTTGGTGTTCTCTGAGCTTCCTGGATGTGTGGTTTTGTGTCTGAGATTCACCTTGAGAAATTCTCAGTCATCATTATTGCTTCAGATATTTCTTCTGTTCTTCTCTCTTTCTTCTCTTTCTGGTATTCCCACTATGCATATGTTACCTCCTTTTGTAATTATCTTAAAAATTCTTGGATAGTTTGTTTCATTTTTTCCCGCAGTCTTTTTTTCTCTTTGCATTTGAATTTTGTAAGCTCCTACTGACATATCTTCAAGCTCATTAATTGTTTCTTTAGCTGTGTCCAGTCTACTGATGAGCCCATCAAAGACAGTCTTCATTTCTGTTACAGTATTTTTCATTTCTAACACTTCTTTTTGATTCTTTCTCATAATTTCCATTTCTCTGCTTACATTACCCATCTGCTTTTGCATGTCTACTTTTTGCATTAGTGCCCTTAGCATATTAACCATGGTTATTTTAAATTCCTCATCTGATGATTCCAACATCCCTGCCATGTCTGAATCTAGTCTGATGCTTGTTCTGTCTGTTCAAACTATGTTTCTGCCATCTAGCATGCCTTGTAATTTTTTGTTGAAAGCTGGACTTGATGTATTAAGTAAAAGGAACTGTGATAAGGTCTTTAGTGAGTAGTGGTATGGTGTGGAAGTTAGAGAAGGATTCTATAGCCCTATCATTAGGTCTCAGTCTTTTATCGAGCCTGTGCCCTTGGGTTGTGATCCTCACAATGCCTCTCAGTTATTCCCACCTTTCCCTCTTGGGTGGCACAAGAAGGATAGATTTGGCTGCAGTTGAGAATTTCCTTCCCCTCATGCCAAAAACTGGGGTAGGGGGCCTAGAGTTGGGTATTTTCCTTCCCCCAGGTCAGTTAAGCTCTGGTAAAATCGTTTCCTTTTAGGGCAGGGTTTGGTTAAGAACAGAATGCTCTGGCACATTTCAAAATGGCCGCTTTTCTCCCCCATCTGCTAAAAGCACACGGGGATTTTTTCTTCAATCTTCACTTTGAGAACCTGGCAGGGCTTCTGGAGGTAAAACTCACATAAGTGAGGTGGGGTAGGGTGACATCCCCTAGGACTCGACCCCGTGGAGTTTTTAACTCTCAAACTTGTCTACACGGAGCCTCCAGCAATCCATCAATTACAGTCTAGGCTTTCCTATCACAGAATTGTTCTACCAGAGGTTCTGCTCTGGTAAGTTGTGATTCTCTGTATCCATCTGTCAATTTTGGTGCAAGAGTTTGCCCTGTGACCTCAGATCTCTGAGGAATCCAAGAAACGTTGTTGATTTTCAGTTTGTTCAGCTTTTTTCTTGTGTGGATGACAGGGATGAGTTTCAAGCTCCTTACTGGAAGATAAAGGACAGGAAATCCCATTTCTTTTTACAGTTTTTTTTTTTAATTATGAACATTTTCTTTCTTTATTATTTATTTATTTATTTTGAGACGGAGTCTAGCTCTGTTGCCCAGGCTGGAGTGCAATGGCACGATCTTGGCTCACTGCAACCTCTGCCTCCTGGGTTCAAGCGATTCTCTTGCCTCAGCTTCCCGAGTAGCTGGGATTACAGGCACCTGCCACCACACTCAGCTAATCTGTTGTATGTTTAGTAGAGTCGGGGTTTCACTGTGCTGGTCAGGCTGGTCTCAAACTCCTGACCTCATGATCCGCCCACCTCAGCTTCCCAAAGTGCTGGGACTGCAAGCGTGAGCCACCGCTCCCGGCTGACATTTTCAAATATAGACAAGAGTAGAAAGAATTATATAATGAAGTCAAATGTAACCATCAGCATCAACTTTTACAAATATTCTATGGTTCTTCTTGTATCCATTCCCTCTCCCCTAGACACAGTTTTTATTTTTAACAAATGTAGTTTATTCTCTTTGACCAACACTTTCATGCTTAGGAATTTACCTTAGAGAGATATATGCATATGAGAAAAATTACTTTGTCTAAGGTTATTTATTGCAGTACTGTTTGAAGCAACAAGAGGTTGGAAACAATATGAATGTCCATTAACAGGAGACTAGTTAGATACACCATGAAACATCCATGCAATAGATAACTATCCAGGTGTGGAAATGACTGAGGAATTAGGTTATGCACCAATATGGAATATTTTCCAAAATATATTGTGGAGGAAAAACAAAGCAAGAGCCAAAGGATGCATCTAACCCACTGTCATTTGTGAAACAAAAAGAGGAGAAGTAATGCAAACATATTTTTTCATGGGCACATAAAATATTTCTGGAAGGATAAACAAGACACAGATAATACTAGCTACCTTTGTACAAGGGAGCTAGCTAGTGCTGTGGGGCAGTGGCTTGAGTAAGATTTTTGCCATAGGGCTTTTCTACCTTTTGATTTTTTAATCATGGGAATGCACTACCTAGTGAATGAATGAGTGAGTGAATAAATCAATAAATGAATGAGTGAACAAATGAATATATTTTAGAAGAAGGGAAGGAAACTCATTCTACAGCCTGGAGTTGGTGGATGGGTGGACTCAGGCATTTATTGAATGCCTATGCACCTGGGCTCACCTCATTGTCATATAATGCCTCCAATCCTTGTAAAGTCATGGTTTATACCCTTGTCACAGAGGAGGAAGCTGGGGCTCAGAGAGGGATGCACGAGATGAACTGCCACCAGTAAATGGCAGAACTGAATGGCAGAACTGACTGGGAGCATGGGCTCACTCGGGTCAATCCAGCTCATTCTCCAGGGGGAGTAGACAAGGTAGCTTGATGTCCTGCATTTCAGGGACAAGAGCAGATTGGAATTGCTGGGTCCCTGGCACGGACTCAAGTTGCTCCCTGGGGAGCCACGTCCACTGTGATGGCCAGAGCAGCCAAACCTTCAAGTTCATTCAGGGCAGAATCACCAGGTTCCCTCCCCAGGGATTCTTAGCTGCTGGATTAATCTTAGTATTTCATTTCCTCCATCTCTGAAAACACAATCCAATTTAATTTAGGTAGAAAAACTACACAAAAGCCATAACACTCAGTTTATCCCTTGAAATGCAATCAGGCTGAAGGAAAGAATTAATTTTTAATTCCATCTTAATTACTCAGAGAAATAATCTATTGGCAGAGCCTGGCCCTGGGATGCCCCTGCCTGATCTCTGCCCGCTGCCAACAGCACCTGAGGCTCGCTCCAGGCGCTGACCAGAGTCGGGGAGAGGCAGGGGCCAGGGCCAGGGCTCCTGCACAGGTATTCTTTGCTGAAGGGAATTGTGAACTAAAGAAATTAACACGTTATCTCATGCTATCTTTCCTTCAGAATGATCTCAGATTTCTTTAATAAAGCCACAAGCTGTACTGCTCGGAGATGCACAATGGGGGGTGTACAGGGCATACCAGATCATCTGTGACCCTGGGCTGAGAGGATGGGCTATTTTTTCATTGTTTTGTATTTGTTAAACAGGTTGGGCCGGGCACAGTGGTTCACTCCTATAATGCCAGCACTATGGGAGGTTGAGGTGGGCGGATCACTTGAGGTCAGGAGTTCGAGACCAGCCTGACCAATGTGGTGAAACCCCGTCTCTACTAAAAAATTGAAATTAGCTGGGAGTGGTGGTACATGCCCGTAATCCCAGCTACTTGGGATGCTGAGGCAGGAGAATCACTTGAACCCAGGAGGTGGAGATTGCTGTGAGCCCAGATCACGCCATTGCACTCCAGCCTGGGTAACAAGAGTGAAACTTTGTCTCAAAATAAGAAAAAAAAAAAAAACCCAGGTTGGTGCAAAAGTGATTGCTGTTTTTGTTATTACTTTCAATGGCAAAAGTGGCAATTACTTTTGCACCAACCTGTATTAATTGAGCACCTATTATGTGCCAGGCACTCTTGTGGGGGCTGGAGACCCAGCAGACCAGGTCCCTGCCCTTGTGCAGCTGATGTTCTGGTGGAGGGAGACAGACAGTAAACTAGTAAGCACATAAGTACAATAATCATGTAGTGAATAAAATAGGACAGTGGATTGGAGGGTAACGGGTGAGGGTTTGTCAGCAGCAGACAGGGAGTCAGGGGCCGTCTCTCCAGAAATGGGATATTTGGGGCTGAGGCCTGGGAAGAGCATACCAAAAGGGGCACAGCAAGTGCCTAGGCCTCAGGGCCTAGGCAGTGCATTGGAGGAGCAGAAAGGTCAGCATAGCTGGAGTGGATGAGCCAGGGAGAGGGTGGGACATCATGATTTTGCATTTCATTCTGGTACCAGAGGAAGCCACTGTATGCCCATGCATACACACAGTAGGTGCTCAATAAGTGCTTGCCAAAGAAACAGCACCCTCTGAACTGACGCATTTGGGAATCTGTGCATTGCCATTTTGTCCCTTCCTTGCTGCCAGGGAAATTCAGACAACAGCTAATGTCCAGGAAGCCGCCCTCTGCCAGCCCTCACCAACGTTGTTTTGATGTGCTAACAACGCTTAATGAGGATCCTAATGAGTCACTAAAAATGGCATCATTAGGTTGAGAACAGAACAGTCTACACAAGCAAATGTCCAAAACAACCAGGCAGCTAGCCAGGGAGCAGCCGCTGCCCCTCCAGCCAATGCCGGACAGATCTCCCACCTGCCCAGTTGAGCGGAGCCCATTTTCCTGCTTGTATCTCCCCAGGCTACGAATCCCCGTCCCAGGACACTGCCTTGGCCGCTTGGTTACTACCACATGAAGCTGTTAGTTGAAGAATTGAGAAAAAATGAAAAAAATAAATAAATAAGGATTTGCTTTGATATGAAAGTAGAGGTGAAAACATAGCTCAAGGCTGGTCAGCAACTTAAAGCACTAACGCATTAGGAGGGAGGTTTGAACATGAGGGCTGCAGGCGAAATCCGACCAGAGTGCATTTTATTTGGCCTACACAGCAGTTTGAAAAGATTTAAATCAGTTTCCTACACTAAATTATTGGAAGGGTTTACATTAAAATTTGAATGCTAAGCTTCTCCTGAAAAACCAGAAGCTGTGGCATCCATGGGCACGTATTCCAGAGTGGCCGTCCCTTAGACGAGGCATGCGCTGAACTCTTTGTCACAGTCCCCACCACTCCTCAACATCTCCCCACCCTGAGGACAGTGCCAGTTGCCATTTATTGTCAGATTTTCCCAGATCCTTTTCTTTTGGTGATTTAAGAAGAAAAAGCAGGGCGCGGTGGCTCATGCCTGTAATCCCAGCACTTTAGGAGGCCAAGGAGGGTGGATCACCTGAGGTTGAGGAGTTCGAGACCACCCTGACCAACATGGAAAAACCCCTTCTGTACTAAAAATATAAAAAATTATCTGGGTGTGGAGGCGCATGCCTGTAATCCCAGCTACTCGGGAGGCTGAGACAGGAGAATCCCTTGAACCCAGGAGGTGGAGGTTGCAGTGAGCCAAGATGGCGCCACTGCACTCCAGCCTGGGCAACAAGAGCAAAACTCCATCTCAAAAAAAAAAAAAAAAAAAGAGAGAGAGAGAGAGATAGAGAAGAAAGAAATATACTTATCCAAGCCCCTCTCATGGACAAACAAACCCAGGTGAGAGAGAGAAAAGAGGGGAGAGAAACCGCTTCTTAAGGAAGCAGAGACAACTCCGACACATTGAATGTGTGAGCAAAAGTGTGTTTGCCTTCAAAGAACCCTGCCTGGGTTACATGGGAACCAAGCTACAGCCCACCCAGCCTGGGTTACATGGGAACCAACCTGCAGCCCACCCTGCCTGGGTTACATGGGAACCAAGCTGCAGCCCACCCTGCCTGGGTTACATGGGAACCAAGCTGCAGCCCATCCTGCCAAGACGCCTTTGGCCTCTGACTGTGGGTTGTTGTTTCTACATTGGAAGCTATTTCTATTGCATGGACAACACTAGAAAAGATATTCTCATGATGCAGAATGTAAGTGTGTAACCTGCTTTGAGTACGCTGCAATGTTGTGACTATCTTGAGTCAAATGCTTAGTGAATCAGAAAGTTACCATTTTTTATTTGAATATGGATTGAAGACCCCGTAGGCATGTTCTTCTCTGGGTCCAGCTCCAAAACACGTTTAGGACCACCCTGCCCTGGGGAGCGGGACACTCCAGTCAGGGACTCTCAGAAGGGCAGCCAGCTTGTAGTCAAATGATGTGTACAGAAGGCCTTTTAAGGTGCTTAAAAAGTTGGCTAGCTGCATTACTGCTGATTGTTTGAGTTTTGTGAAAAGAGGTAATACATGTTTATGGGAAAGAAGCCGAACACTGCAGAAAGGGTTACCATGAAAAACAAGTTTCCTGCTCACCAGACCCCCTGGACTGTTGTCTCCCTTCCCAGAGGGCTCCTCACTCTCATGGAGCTGGGATCTGAAGTAGGGCCGTGGTGGCCCCCTAAAAGATGAGACTATGTCCAAATCTCTGGAACCTGTGAATATGACCTTATTTGAAAAAAAAAAAGTCTTTGCAAATGTAACTAAGTCAGAATCCTGAGATGAGGAAATTATCCTGGCTTATCTGAGTGATCCCTAAGTCCACTGACTGTCATACCCTTATAAAATAGGCATACAAAGAAGAGGAGGAGGCAATGTGGCCACAGAAGCAGAGCTTGGAGTGATACGGCCACAAGCCGAGGGATGCCAGCAGCCAATGGAAGCTGGAAGAGGCAGTGAACAGACTCTTCCTGCATTGATCAGAGTTCTCCAGAGGAACAGAGAACTCTACATTATAAACCACACACACACACACACACACACACACACACGAACTGGCTCATGGGATCACGGAGTTGGGTAAAGTCCCAAAATCTGCAGGGTGGGTTGGCAGGCTGGAGACCCAGGAGAGCTGATGGTTTAGTTCCAGACCAAGGGCCAGCAAGCTCAGCACTCGGGAAGAGCCAAAGTTTCAGGTCAAGTTTGAAGGCAGAAAAAAATAAGCTGACACTCCAGTTTGGAGTAGACAAGAAGGAGGAATCCTCTCACTTGCGGCGGGGGAAGGGTCAGCCTTTTGAGATGTGAAGCCAGCTGGCCTTCCTGGGTCGAGTGGGGACTTGGAGAACTTTTTTGTCTCACAAGAGGTTTGTAAAATTCACCGATCAGTGCTCTGTAAAAACACACCAATCAGCGCTCTGTAGCTATCTAGAAGTTTGTAAAATGCACCAATCAGTGCTGTATAGAAATGCACCAATCAGCACTCTGTAGCTAGAGGTTTGTAAAATGGACCAATCAGCACTCTGTAAAATGGACCAATCAGCAGGACATGGGCGGGGACAAATAAGGGAATAAAAGCTGGCCATGCCCCAGCCAGCAGCGGCCACCCGATCAGGGATTCCATGCTGTGGAAGCTTTGTTCTTTTGCTCTTCACAGTAAATCTTGCTGCTGCTCACTCTTTGGGTCTGTGCCATCTTTAAGAGCTGCAACACTCACCGTGAAGTTCTGTGGCTCTGTTCTTGAAGTCAGCGAGACCACCAACCCACCAGAAGGAAGCAACTCTGGACACACTTTTAGTTCTGTAAGGACCTTCAGCCAAGCAGATGAGGCCCACCCACATTAGAGAGACAGTCTGCTCAATGCAGTCAGCCAATTCCAATGTTACCCTCATCCCAAACACTCTCACAGAAACACCTGGAAGAAAGTTTGACCAAATAACTGAGCACCCTGTGGCCCAGTCAAGTTGACACAGGAAAGTAGAGCCTCCTTGGCCAGGCGTGGTGGCTCAGACCTGTAATCCCAGCACTTTGGGAGGCCGAGGTGGGTGGATCACCTGAGGTCAGGAGTTGGAGACCAGCCTGGCCAACATGGTGAAACCCCGTCTCTACTAAAAATACAAAAAAAAAAAAAAAAAAAAAAAAATAGCTGGGCATGGTGGCACGCGCCTGTAATCCCAGATATCAGGAGGCTGAGGGAGGAGAATCTCTTGAACACAGGAGGTGGAGGTTGCAGTGAGCCGAGATCAAGCCGTTGCTCTCCAGCCTGGGCAACAAAGCAAGACTTCATCTCAAAGAAGAAGAAAGTAGAGCCTTCAGAGGGTGCATGGCCCTGCTGACACTTTGATGGTAGAGTTCTGACCTCCAGAGAGAGGATACATCTGTGCTGTCTGAGGCCACCAAGTGCATGGTCATTTGTTATGGTCGCTGCAAGAAACAGAGCTCCTGCCCGTCTCTGTACAGCTGTCCTCCTTGCTTTCTGCATACACAGAGCAGGCTGTGTCCAAGGAAAGAGGCCTTCCTCTTGCTTCTTTTTTGTTGAACACTGTTGCTTGGAAATCTTTCCCGTAGGCAGTGGCCACGGTCTTCTGAATGCTTGCATAGTATTCCAGCCTATGGGGTATCCTGTTCATTGGCCCCGAACGCCTCACTGGTGATGCTGGGGTCGCTTCCAGTCATCCGCTTCCACAGACAGTGCTGCAAAGGGCATCTTCCCCGCACAGGTGTGTGCGTGCCTGTGCAAACACGCTTGCGAGGCCAGTTCCCACAAGTGGAATTGTCACATCAGAGTGTGCGCATTTCACGGTGTTAAAGGCATCGCCAAATTGCCCTCTGAGGAGGTTATACCACAGACTCCTCTTTAAAAGTACATTTTTTTTCCTCGTTATAAAAGTAGTCTTTTAGTAGGATTCTTCAGTGTGATTTGATGACACCCTGTAACTGAAATCTTTTCTGGCAGAACATAGTCAATGGGAAAATAACATCAATTACCTGGAATTTTCCTGCCAGCCTGGCTGGCTTGCCCCTCTCCTGTCAAATAGGGGGTTCTTGTGTTAGGCGCCTGTTTTTCCTTCAGGTGGTCTCTGTCTGGGCTCTGAGGCAGGGTGCGAGGACGGGGCTCTTTGGAGCTGGCCAGCCCCCCTCGCGTCAATGACTAATCCCAGCCTCCCCCATGTTCCCTCCGTGAGGAGAAGAGGAAGGGAAACAGAAAGTCATTTCCCCCATCTGGATAGTCCTATATTTAATGTCGAATGTCTAATGTGTCCTCGTTCTTCCTGTTCTTGACCAGCCTTTGGCTAAGAGAGACGTTCCCTGCTGCTCGAAGGTGGAAGGAAGGGTCGCCACCCACGGGCAGAGGGGGCTTCTCTTCTCCCCTCTGGGCCTGGATCGGCTGCCGGGACAGATAACCTCCTGTGTGGCGTGCCCACCCCTGGTGAGGCCCCCACAGTGGCTTTAGGGCTGGAGGGGCCCCTGAAGGCCAGCTTGTCCAGCACCTGGTTTTAGGGATGGGCAAACTGTGGCGCAGCAAACGAGTTCATTTGTCCGAGGCCACATCCCCAAGGGCCCCCAATCACCTGCTGTGAAAGGGGTTGAGCTCCTTCCAAGAGATAAAGGCCTGGATGTGAGCCCTGCCCCCCTTCTCCAGCCCATCTCCTGTCATTCCCTGCCTCACCTGAATGGCTGGGACAGCTCAAGCGGACTTGACCTTGGTTGGCGGCTGCTCCCGCCTGCCCATAGCCCCACACACTAGTCCCACGCTGTGCCTCAATTCCAGCCCACACTCACGCCAACCTCCCTCCTCCTCAGTTTGCTGGTCAGCTCCTTCTCATTCATGATGACTCAGCTCAGACACCCCATCCTCCAGGAAGCCTGTCCTGGTTTCCTCGAGCTGGGTTCCTTGACTCTTCTTGGTGCCTAAGCACATCTCTGTTACCTCTTGCCACATTCCTCGTGGTTCGTTTGAGGCCCGTCTTCCCACCAACACCACACAGAGCTTTTTGAGGGCTGAGAATAAACCCAAGTCATCTACGTCTCTCCAGGAACACGTGTTTATTAAATGAATGAATGAATGAATGAATGAACGAACAAACCAGAAGCTGGGTGACGGTCGCTGTCATGGAGTAGAAAGAAAGACTCTTGGGTTAGGGATCGGGACACCTGGATCTCTGCTGCTTATTATTTGTAAATCACTGGGCAAGCCTCTTACCTTCTAAGGCCTCAGTTTCCTCATCTGTAAAAGGGTACAATTTGGCTGTGTGTCAGTCAGCTGTTGCTATGTAGCAAACAACCACAAACTCTCAGAGGCAAACGGCAATAAACTTCGTAGATGTGCCTGACGTAAGATGGAGTCACATCCTGATAAACCCACAGAAAGTTAGAAATCTCGTAGGTGGAAAATGCACTTGATTCTCCTATCCTGGCAAACATCGTAGCTTAGCCTGGCCTAGCTTAAACGTGCTCAGAAGGTTTCTATCAGCCTACGTTGGGCAGCAACATCTAAAACAAAGCCTGTTTTATAATAATGTGTCAGATAGTTCATGTAATTTATTGAACACTATACCAAATGTGAAAATTGGGGGCTGGGCGCTTTGGCTCACGCCTGTAATCCCAGCACTTTGGGAGGCCAAGGAGGGTGGATCACCTAAGGTCGGGGGTTCAAGACCAGCCTGACCAACATAGAGAAAACCCGTCTCTGCTAAAAATACAAAAATTAGCCGGGTGTGATGGCGCATCCCTGTAATCCCAGCTACTTGGAAGGCTGAGGCAGGAGAATCACTTGAACCTGGGAGGCGGAGGTTGAGGTGAGCCGAGATAGCACCACTGCACTCCAGCCTGAGCAACAACAGCGCAACTCCGTCTCAAAAAGCCAGAGTAGTTTCTACTGAGCATGCATGGCTTTGCATCATTGTAAAGTTGAAAAATCGTAAGTCAGGGACCGGGTGTATGTGACTCCTACGTGTGCAGACTGCCTGGATGTTGGCAGCCCAGCCTGGGCTGCGCTGGGAGGGCGGTTGGGTCTGGCTCTGCTCCATTGTGTTTCTCATTTTTCTTGGACCAGTGGGGTGCCAGGCCGTGTCTTATGGTTATACCCAAAGTTAAAGGTCGAGGGGAACATGCAGCTCCTCGGGGGAGAAACTGCAAAGGGTATGGATACAGAGAGGGGTAAAAAATCGAGACCAATAAATCAAGCTACCCCTGACTCTGTGTTGCTGAGGTGGTCCAATCAGCCCTTCCCCCTCTTCTGTGGCTGCCCTGAGTCCTCCTGTCTGGGGAACTTCCCTAACCCCCATCTTCTTTCCGGTCAGCCTGGGCCCAGGTCTCTCCCCGTGGAAATTCTGGGAGCACAGTTTTGTGTCTTCTCTCCCAGCTCAGTCTGCAGTTTCCGCCCTGTACAAAACCTCCACTAAAATGTGCTCGCTCCTTCAGCAATAGCACAACTGCGGCTGGGCACCGTGGCTCACGCCTGTAATCCTAGCACTTTGGGAGGCCAAGGTGGGCAGATCACCTGAGGTCAGGCGTTCGAGGCCAGCCTGGCCAACATGGTAAAACCGCGTCTCTACTAAAAATACAAAAATCAGCTGCGCTTGATGGTGGGTGCCTGTAATCCCAGCTACTTGGGAGGCTGAGGCAGGAGAATCACTTGAACCCAGGAGGCAAAGGTCACAGTGAGCCAAGATCACCCCACTGCACTCTAGCCTGGGCAACAGAGCGAGACTCCGTCTCAAACAAACAGACAAACAAACAAAAGCACAACTGTCCATCTGTTCTCTCAAGCCTGAGACCCAGGCATTCGCCTTCCTCTCCCCGTGTCCAACATTGCACCAAGCCTGAGGATCTTCTCCTCGGTCCCTCCTGACCCTGACACCTCCTGTCCAGGGCCCCCGCCCCCACCCCATGCTCCTGGGGCCAGGCCCTGCCCCATCCAAATATGTTCTCTGTGCTGTCACCTGCAAAATCTTTGTGACAGGCAGATCTGACTGTGCCGGGGACATGTGGCTGGGTCCTCGCTACTAGTGGTGGGATCCAGGAAGGAAATATAAGGCAGTGAAGGGACTGGGTGAGTGTGACAGGTTGAATTGAACTGTGCCCCCAAAAAAGGTAGGCTAGAGTTCTAAGCCCTAGCACCTCAGCAGGTGACCTTATTTGGAGACAGGGTCCTTCCAGAAGTCATCAAGTTAAGGCGAGGTGACTAAGGCGGCCCCGATACAATGTGACTGGTATCTATAAAAAAGGAGAATTTGGACAAGACAGACAAACACAGGGGCAGATCATGTCAGACCACAGGGAGAATACCATCTACAACAATGCCTGAGGCTGCCAGAATCAAGAGCAGAGGCGTGGAACAGACTCCCCCTCACAGCCTTCAGAAGGAACCAACCCTGATGCCTAGATCCTGAACTTCACATTTCTGTCTTTTAGCCCCCTAGTTTGTGGTACGTTGTTACTAGGCAGCCCTGGGAAATTAATGCGGTGAGGGGTGGGGAGGACACCAAGCGGAACATTAGCACAGCCAGGGAATGGTATCTGGGTGGCAATAGGGAGCGGTGGGGACTCTGGCAAACTGGAGAGCCCATAGCCCAGTGGAAGCCGGCTCCAGCTGGTTGTTGCCGCGTGGGATTGCAAGCCTGAGCTTCAGACTCTCTAAAGAACCTGGAAATCTAGATTTGTATGTGAAATCATGAAATCACCTCATCTTTTAATGTTGGCTAAAAATACAAAAGAAAACAAAAATCTGTGGGACAAAATTGGCTGGAAGGCTGCCAGTCTGTGATTTTGGGCTTACAGCAAGGATCAACAAACTATAGCCCACAGCCCAAATCTGGCCTACCACCTGTTTTTACAAATAAAGTTTTATTGGAACAGAGCCGCGCTCACTCACTTACATACTGACTACACCTGCACTCCACAGTGGCAGTGAGAAGGTTCAGCAGAGACTGCAAAACCTAAAATATTTATTATCCTGTCTTTTTTTTTTTTTTTTTTTTTTGAGACGGAGTTTCACGCTTGTTGCCCAGGCTGGAGTGCAATGGTGCGATCTCAGCTCACCACAACCTCCGCCTCCCGGGTTCAAGCAATTCTCCTGCCTCAGCCTCCCAAGTAGCTGGGATTACAGGCATGTACCACCACGCCCAGCTAATTTTGTATTTTTAGTAGAGATGAGGTTTCACCATGTTGATCAGGCTGGTCTCAAACTCCCGACCTCAGGTGATCTGCCTGCCTCAGCCTCCCAAAGTGCTGGGATTACAGGTGTGAGCCACCTTGCCTAGACTATCCTGTCCTTTATAGAAGATGTTTGTCAGCCTCTGGCTTAGTTAAGAAATTTAACCCCTTCATCTTGCAGGAAACAACCTTGGCAATGAGGCTTCTGCTTTCTCATCCATCACACACTCTCACCACCCCTGGCCACCCCTCCCCAAATACACACACACGTTACTCTCCAGCAATAATGAACTACTTTAGTTCCCAGAGCAGTCCGTGCACATATGGGCTATATGTTCATCTGTGCCATCTACGCTGGCCCCTGGAAGGGTCCCATCTCCACTTGTCTGCCTGGCAAACCCTTCTAGCCTCGGCTCCAATGCTGCTTCTTTCATGTAGTCCTCCTGGGTTGCTCCTCCCACACTCCATTCATAGATTCTCCTAAAGCATCCATCTTGTTCTTGCTTGTGGAGTCCTGTGTCCTTGGGAGACCATAAGCATCTTGACAGCAGGGCAGGGTCTTCTCAGCTCTGCCTCAGTGGCAGCCTTAAGCAGTGTGGGCCCAGTTCCATAGGCAGGAACTCAGGGAGCAGAGACTTCTGAAGGAGGGAGTGAAACAGTGGAGGTAGCAGAGATGGTATTGATGGCATGGTGCCCACTCATCTGCAGGAGTTGCAGCCTCCCAGGCACTCCACAGCACTCCAGATGCTCCCTAGAAGGGAGGCAAGCTCCTGGCCTGTTCTCCCTCCAGAGTTGCGAGCTGTTTCCCAGCGTGCAGGAGACATAGTGTCGGGGTGTTCGTGCTCTGCCAGCTATAACCTCCAGCAGAGAACCAAAGCGAGAGCGTAAAGCCCATCTCCACCACAGTAGGAGACACTCGGAGCCTGGCTGAGTATGTTCTACTGGTAAGAACTCATTCATTCATTCATTCACTTACATATTTCCATGCACAACTCCGTAAAAAGCAATGTTTTGGTACAGCACAGAAAACAAATGTGATTAAGGTGCTGCCCCTGAACTGAATTGTGCCCCCCATTTTTCACTCTCCCCGCATTCATCCTTGCCACAGCCTTGTGGAAGGTAGATTGCACTTTGAACTTGGCCATGGAACTTGCGTCGGCCAGTGGCAGATGAGTGGAAGTGACAGCTCAGAAGCACACCTCAGGAGGTACCGTGTGTTTTCTCTCACCTTTGCTGTGGGCCTTTGTCATTGCCTGGGAAGATCCCACCAGCTGGCCCACTGGTCCAAGGAAGATGAGAAACTCATGACCCACAGTGAGACGCAGAGATAGCCAGCAGCCCCGCCCCAGTCAGCTGGGCACAAGCTGATCCACAGATGCACGCATGATGAGCAATAGCTGTTGCGTCAAGTCGCTGAAATGTTGGGGTGCGTTGTTACACAGCAGTAGACAACCCAAACAGTTCCTGTCCTCAAGAAGCCTCCACAGTAGGAGAACTAACCCAGACCCCAGAACATAAGGCAGGTGGGCCCATTGTTCTCCGTGTGGCACCTGTGACAGGCAGAATAATGCCCCCTTCCAAAGTGTCCATGTCCTAATTCCTGGAACCTGTGAATATGTTGGCTACAAGGAAAGGGAGGATTCAGGTTGCAGATGGAATTAAGGCTGTTAATCAATTTACCTTAAACTAAGATAACGCTGGATTATCTGGGTGGGGCCACAGTATCACAGGGTCCTTAAGTGGGGAAGAGGGAAGCAGAGAAGAGTCAGAACCAGGGAGACGGTGTTGCAGGACTCAGCTGGCCATGGCTGGCTTTAAAGAGGGAAGTGGCCACGAGCCAGGGAAGGCAGGCAGCTTCCAGAGGCAGGAAGAGTCAAGGAAACAGATCCTCCCCTGGAGCCTCTAGAAGGAATGCAAGCCTGCCGACGCCCTGATGGTAGCCCAGTGAGATGCATTTTGGACTTGGTCTCCAGAACGGCGGGATAAGAAACGTGTGCTTTTCTAAGCCACCGAGTTTGTGGTATTGTTATGGCAGCAAGTGGAAGCAAATACAGCACCCTCCCCACTCCAGTGCCCCCCAGCCCTTCTCTCTCTGGCTCTGAGCCTGGAAGGCTGACCTTCCTTGACTGCAAACCAGGCTCCTCGGTGCTGTGGCTTACAGTTGGGGCCAGCCAATGGGTAGCACCCACAGGAAACTGGAAGGTGGAAGGAGGGGCCGGGGCATCTCTTCCCCACTCTGTCCCCACCTGGGTTGTGGTTCTAACAGTAGCTGTGTCGTCTGAATGCTCTTCTACTTCCAGCCAAGGTCACAACACAGTGGCATTCTGGGTGGCTTGTCCCTGGTGCTTCCACACCCCTGTGGCTTCTCTTATAGCCCTGCCTGCACCTATGTAATTAGACCCTTCATTAAGCTCTCCTCAAATCCCAGCTGAGCAGCCTTCCATCTCCTGCCAGAAACCCGCCTGATACACGGGATATGATCATAAGAAAAAAAAAAAAACAGCTGCTGATCAGCTTGTACAGGGAGGCACAGGCATTCTTCAGGACGGAGGGCTCTGTGTGTGGCATCTACAGTGTCTCCATGAGCAGGAAGGGGAACAGGGCTCTTGGAGCTGGGAAAGGGGTCTGGGCTTGGAGCCAGACACAGGGGTGTGGACTCTTGACCCTCTTCCTATTATTACGTGACCTTGGGCGACTCGCCTGACCTCTCTGAGAGCTTGTTTGCCTATTCCTAGAATGGGCAGGGACGGGTATATCACCCAGGAGACGCGAGGAGTGACATGGCCGGCACGTGTTGGGAGACGGATGAATGGTGGCTGTCGGCCAGGGGGGCATTCCAGGGGACAGAGCAGAGCGAGCTCGACAGGCAATTGTCGGACGTGCTTGGGGAGCTGTGAGCAGCTGAGTGCCTGGAATAGTAAGACAGGCTCCAGAAAGAGATGCAGGGACATGGAGCCCAGAAAGCATTTTGATCAGGGCAGAAACTCTGGATTCCATTCACTTGGCAGTAGGTTGCCATCGAGGGTCTTGGAGCTGGGGAGCGACACAGAGTCTAAGTGATGCAGGAGGGAGAGAGAGAGGGAAAGGGAGAGAATGAAAGAATGAGAGAGAGAGAGAGAGAGAAGAATGTAGAAGGTTAAGGATCTTTGGCAATTTCCTTTGGAGAAATTTTCAAAGCCATCTGTGTCTTGTTTCTTTTGTGTGGAAAGGGGAAATAGAGGGAAACAGAACTCTAGAATCAATTTACCGACAACTTGGGCCCTGACAGTAATTATTTTCTTGAGTAGCGGGTCTTCCAGCTTGAAATCTTTGCCAACTAGTGTTCCGGAGTGGGCTGGTAATAGGCAGGGTGCCCGTGTTAAATGCTCAGTGAGGAGGACATTCCCATCATGGTCTATGGGATGGCGCTCCCTGGAGTGGTGCAGGATGCGGCCTGTGCGCTGCACCTGGAGACCCCAAGAGCAGGAAGGATGGCTTAGGGGTCCTGACGCATGGCTCCTGCTCTGCCGGAAGCCCCCACTGTCTTCTTCTCTGGCCATGGCGGTGGGATGGATGGCAGGTCAGCCTCCCAGCTTCCGCTAACTGAAGGTGCCCCCTGTTTTTACCTCTGACAGGAAAGGGAGGGGAAACCTGAGCCAGTCAACAAAGTCAAACATAGCCACCTGCAAATGTAGCTGGAAGCCGTCCATCACCTTAGTTACGGCGTGTACCAAAGAGGCAAGGTGAGAGTACCATCCTATCTCCCCTGGCTTCTCAGAGTCTGGCCTGCACAGAGGGGAGGGGCCCGTCTTCTCTCATAGTCTGTTACATCCTGTTTTTAAAATCTTGTGTACTCTAACATTCATAAACGACTTTGGCATCCTGTAAAATGTCATCATTTTTAAAAAATGACTAATTTCAAATCCTTTCCTACATTAGTACTTTATTGTTTGAAAGAGTCAAAAACCCAACTCAAACTGGCTCAAGAAAACAGGGAACTGGGAAATTCAAGGGCATGAACCACAGCATGAGGCACAGCTGGATTCAGGCGTAAAAGCACTGTTATTGGGGCTCTGCTCCCCACCACATCCTGCTGTTTCCCATGCATTGGCTTCATTCTTTGACAGCCTCTTTCACCATGGAGGTTCCCAGCAGCTCCAGCTTTACATCATACAGGTCAAGCAGCCCCACAGGAAAGACAGGGCCTCATTCTTCACAGATATGATCAATGTCCCAGAATGGAGTCCTCTTGCCTGGCCAGGGACAGGTGTCCTCCCGGACATCACTGTATCAGGGATGGCACGCTCTGGGTGGCCAAGCCTTGGCTAGGTGTCTGTCCCAGTCCGTGATCCCCGAGAGGGGTGGTTCCAGGGAAAAAGTACCCAGGAAGAGGAGGACAGATGCTGAGGCCACCACGGGGCAGGGGCCACCATACACTTGTTCCTCATTTCCCATTTCATTTTCTTTTCTTATCTTTGTGTGTGTGTGTGTGTGTGTGTGTGTGTGTGTGTGACAAGATCTCCCTCTGTTGCCCAGGCTGGAATGCAGTGGTTCAAGCTCCTTGCAGTCTTGAACTCCTGGGCTCAAGCAATTCTCCCACCTCAGCCGCTAAGTAGCTGAGACTACAAGCACACACCACTATGCCCAGCTAATTTTTTAGTTTTTATTTTTGTAGAGACAGGGTCTCACCATGTTGCCCAGGCTGGTCTCAAACTCCTGGGCTCAAGCCATCCAACTGCTGGGCCTCCCAAAGTGTTGGGACTACAGGTGTGAGCCACCGCGCCTGGCCCTTTTCGTTTTCAATAGCCCAATGTGCCATCTAATATTGGAATGTATGTGCAAACAACATTCACCACTGAAAACATAAAACTGTAGACCTGACTCTATTGGCTCGATTCCTGCTCACTTTCTTGGGAGCCAGTGTCTGGGGAAAAGTCATGATATGGACCTTCAGAGGCCTGGTCAGAGTGACTCGGACCCTTCTGCTTAATGCAATGTCCCCAGAGCAACAGACAGCAGAGCCTGAACAGAGCAAAAAGATCTAGCCCTTTGCTTATAGAGGGAGTAAATTCACAGAGGCGAGAGACTCAGGCCCAGGCAGGTTCTGGGCCTCCTCAGTGGGAAGGAACTGGGGAGAGGCCATTACCCTGTGAGCTGGGTCCCTAAACAGGAGGTCTGGCCACATTAGAACCTTTTGGTTGTGAGAGACAGAAACTAAACTCAGACTGGACGAGGCAAAATATAAATGCTGAAATAATTATTATAATCACAATCCAGGCGAGTGGCTCACGCCTGTAATCCCAGCACTTTGGAGGCCAAGACAGACAGATTGCTTGAGCTCAGGAGTTTGGACCAGCCTGGGCAACATAGCAAAACCCATCTTTACAAAAAAATCCAAAAATTAGCTGGGCACGGAGGTGTGCATTCATAGTCCCAGCTACTAGGGATGCTGAGGTGGGAGGTTCCCCTGAGCCTGGGAAGCCAAGGCTACAGTGAGCTGAGATTGCACCACTGCACTCCAGCCTGGGAGACAGAGACTCTGTCTCAAAATACATACATACATACATACATACATATGTATGGCTGGGCACAGTGGCTCACGCCTGTAATTCCAGCACTTTGGGAGGCCGAGGTGGGTGGATCACAAGGTCAGGAGTTCAAGACCAGCCTGACCAACATGGTGAAACCCCGTCTCTACTAAAAATACAAAAATTAGCTGGGCATGGTGGCGCGTGCCTGTAATCCTAGCTACGCAGAAGGCTGAGGCAGGAGAATCACTTGAACCCAGGAGGCGGAGGTTGCAGTGAGCCGAGATCGCGTCATTGCACTCCAGCCTGGGCAACAGAGTGAGACTCTGTCTCAAAAATAAATAAATAAATAAATAAATAAATAAATATTCCTGGCCAATGACTTCAGGCATGGCAGGATCCAGGTGCCAGTGAGTCATCAGGAAGCTGAAGCTCCATCTGAGGTCTGACCTCCTGAGTCAGCTGCATTCTCTAGTCTTTGGCAACGTCAGGTTCACCCCCACCCCAGCTCAGCAATTCCAGTAAAAGGCTAGGGCCTTCTTACAATCCCAGGATTTGCCTTGATTCGACTTTACCTGAACAGCTTCAAACCACTCTCAGTAACCAGGGTGATGGGCTCTACTGATTGGCCAGACATAGGGTATGTGCCCACCCCTCTGAGTGAGCGAGCAGCTTCTTCCAAAGCTCAGGGACTGAGCAAGGGGGAGGAGGAGTCCCACTGAGCAGGACGATGCCTGCAGGAAAAAACAACAGCTGTCCCCTACTTGGGGAGGGAGTTGGGGGGCGCTGGAAGCACAGAAGGCAGTGAGTGCCAAGCAGAGAGGAAGGCTGCTGCTGGGGGAGGAGTCCCAGGGAGGAGTGGGGGATGTGGGGTGGAGGAGACTGGCTGGACTTGGGCCTGGGGAGCAGGTTATGGGGTCACAGAGGGCAGGTTTCCTCCCCTGCAGAGCCGATGGGCAGCCCTGCGGGCAGGCAGAGGGAGAAGCTGGGGTCCATGGCCCGAAGCGCAGCTTGTTGCTGCTCGGGAGAAGAAGCCCTGTCTGGGACCTACAGGGACAGACCCCTTACCCGCGGTGCCTCTCCAGACTCAGAGTCTGACACCTGCCCCTCTGGCAGACGCGATCTCCACTGTGCTGGGAAGCTGCTGCTGGCTTCCGTGTCTTCCTGGGGTTGCCCCAGATGGCCAGGAGGTGAAAAGGACACTCACTTTCTCATAGGGGATTCAGGGCTGCTGCTCCAAAGCCCCCCAGACTGGCTTTGTGAGAGTCAAGCATTGCCCAAGGGCGCACCTGAATCTGGCCCTCTTAGGGGGGCCGAGACGCAGCGTGAAGCGGGCAGAGGCCGTCTTGGCTCCCAGGGGCTTGCCTTCTAATGAGGCCAAAGCCAGGTGCTTTTCCTTCCCTCTTGGGCTCCACACTGGGTCTGGCTCAGGCACGGGCCCTCAGGAAATGTAGGTGGGGAGGCCAGTGATTCGGGAGGAAAATGGACCCCCCCTGCCCTCGGGGAGAGGTGCTGCTTTCAGTACGGTCCTGCCTCCATCTGGCTGGGTGACCTTCACTTAGTCACAAACCCTCTCTAGGCTCCCAGGTTCCTCATCTGTCAAATGAGGAGGCTGCAGCAGCCGGGCCCCAAGGCACCATTGGCTCTAGCATCCTTTGGCTCCCTGGCCAGGCATCCCCACTGAAGGCACCTGGGCTCCAGCAGCCATACCTGGCTCCCATCCCTTCCCCCAGGGAGCCCCGGCTTCCACCCGTGGGTCCCCCTTGGTGCCCTGCGAGGAACCAGGCTGGGCCGGGGCAGCGGGAAGAGGTATTCAAGGAGCCATAATTATTGTAAAGAGGAGAGTTTAAGTGTTTAGTTTTATGAGGCAGCCGGCCCTCTCTGTCAGCAGAAAGCCACGCGGCTCCCTGGGTGTGAGTTAATTTCCTCCGTGGCTCGTTTCCTCGGCCGTCGTCATTTTTCCTCAGCTGCTTTATGGCTTTTGGAGCAGTGTGTGGGGGCAGCAGCTTTGCCCACTGGAGCAGGAAGCCCCCCACTCCTCCACGCCAGAGCCCAAAGGGCAGCCAGGCCTGCAGGGGGCAGTGGGGCCACTGAATCTTGCACCGGAGGTGGCAGGCTGGGCATGAGAAGCAATGAGGCTGGGCCGGTTGTCCCTGTGCAGGCCCCTGCCCCTGGCACCTCCCTAAGGAGCTAGCAAAGAACAGGTCTAAATTAAATGATGGTCAGGCTGGTCAGGCCAGCCTTGCTGCCATCCGGAGTGTCCCCATCACACAGCCATGCGCTTTGCCCTCCGGCTCATGGCGAGCACGGTAGGGGAGAATGCAACAGCTTTGGCCTTAGACAGACCTGGATTCAAATCTCAACCTCATCAATATACCGTGCCACTGGGCCAAGTGACTTACCCCTGGGCTGCCATTTCTTCGTACCTAATATCCATAGCACCTGCTTGGTGGTGCTGAGGGGCTGGAGCATGGTAATATATGCAAAACACCTGGCACAGAGACACCATTCCCCAAAGGTCAGCTCGCTTCCCCAACCCATGCTGTCTCTCTAAATGATTCGCCCATGTCCTCTGTGGGCCATGGGGAAATCATCCGCAAGCCAAGGAAGAGTGGGGTTCCTGAGTGCGCAACCAGATGACCTCTAAGAGATGCCATGGTCCACATTTGGGGAGCGGAGTCTGTGTACCAGGTGGTTTGCATGATCATGCTCCAACCCCACTGAGCAGGTGTTGTGGACACCCCCATTCTGCAGACAAAGAAATGGCAGCCCAGGGAAAGTCGCTTGGTCCAGGTGACATGGTCATGATGAAGCTGGGATTTGAATCCAGGTGGCCAAAGAGCCACCTCTCTCCCACATCAGGCCTTGCCATGCACATGATGTTATCCCAACAAGGACCCATGGGGACCCCCCAAACAGCTTTGCAAGGTAAGGATTGTTGGGTCCCATTAAGGATGAGGGACCTGAAGCTCTGAGAGGTGAGCCAGCAAACTGAGATTGTCAAGTTGATCAGAAGCCAAGCCTGTGAGTCCTGGGTGGACATACTTAGAGGCAGGGCAAAAGTGGACTCCCTTTTAGAGGCAGTTTTCTCATGTTCAGGCTGTAGATGGGCAGTTTTGAGAACCTTTGAACAACGTTGCCTGATCTCGCATTACTGAATGGCTCTAAGGAATAATGGAGATAAAACAGACAGAGATACCTGGGTTTGAACCCACTACACCACTCGTGAGCCTGAGCAAATCACAGATTCTCTTTAGCCTCAATTTTCCCATCTGCACAATGGAGACAGCAGCTCCTATGTCACATGAACAAGAGTTCATTACACAAGATGAAGCATGTGGGCACCTTGTGCGAGGAGTTAGAGGACCCAAACTGTCTTCTGGATTCTGCTAGCAGCTCTTGGTTCAACCTTGAGCAAGCACCTCTTTTAGGCTGGAGACCCCTTTGAGACTTCATTAAGTTGTTGGCCCCCTGCCCAGAAAAGTACACAGAGGACCCCACAAGTTTGGCAAGTGATTTGGAAGGTTCCTGCACCTCCGGCAATCTGCCCACCATCCTTGTTAAGCTGCTAGCTGAGTATTGCTGGGTCCCTCCAGTCCTAACCTTCTATGTCTCCATGGTGGGGGCGGGGGGGAGGCACCCAGCTCACCCTTGTCTTTTTCAGACCCAGTAGCACCTGGATTCTCAGAGTGGTCCCAGCCTGTCGTCCCACCTGACTGTACCCTGGGGAAGAAGAGAAACTATTGCAAAACTCCAAGTCCCACAATGGCTGGCTTTCTTGGCTCACCTCCCCCACAAGTGGGACATCTATGGTTTGCCCCCAGCACCCAACCCCTCTTCCTTCTGGGACCATTCACCTGCATTCCCCTCGGGGCGCTTATCCATTCTCAGCTCATGATTGGTGAGCTGACTTCACACCCACCTTCAGGAGCAGGCCCTGATTGGCCACTCAGCATATTCCCTCCTCCTGGCTGTGGCTATTGGTTGAGAGATGGGCAAGTAACCCAATCAGCACATAAGACGCAAGAATATTCCTAGTGTTTCTGGTAGAGCAAGGTTTCTCCTATCTTCCATGGAAGCTGTTGGGAGAGACCTTCATTGTTTCCCTGAAGGATGTGGTATAAAATTGGAATTTTGCTACCAGGAAGGGATAGCCTGGAACTGCTCGAAGTGGGAGGACGGAATGTTCTACAAGGAGCCTGGAGGTCAGACAGGAGCGATGGGAAGGAACAAGGTCCTTGTGACATCTTTGGAGCCGCTGGACCAAGCCTCACGTGATGCTAACACTACCTCCACTCAATAAACTCCCCAGGAGGTAATCAATTAGACTTGGGTTTTCCTGTCACTTGCAACGCAAAGCATTCTAATGGAAACTCCCTGAGGCCTAAACAAAGACTGGATCAGACAGGAGAGCTCAGGAATCAGGAAGACAAAATTCTTTCAAAGGGTGTGGGAACTGGGAAATACCCATCGGCCCACCTGGTGCTGGGAAGACTTCAGAAAAAAGCCACCAAGGCAGAGAGCGTAGATGAATTTTTTGGTATTATTTGTCTGGACAGGAGGAAATGTTGGCTATTTGAAGTTTGATTAACCATCAATTCCATTCAAGTCCTCAAATGTTTCCATGCAGGACACTGTCACATGGTGGAGGACACACGTATGAGCAAGACAGCCCCTGCAGCCAGGAGCTGCTTCCAGGTGAGGAACACAGGCTCGGACAAAACTGACCGGAACATGAGCAAGACTGGAATAAGAGCTGAGGCTGAGACATGGATCCATGGGCGTCGGGACCCTGGCAGGAAAGCAAGATCCTGGGGACAGAGCACCTTTCTCTGCCCACAAAGGCACTGTACAGTTGCCCAGCCCTGTCACTCGGGGCCACCTCCCCCCAGAAAGAGCTCTTTATCTGACTTGTACAAAAGCACCTTAGGGGCTAGCATTGCCAGGTGCATTGGGGAGCAGTTCCTCCAGGTCTAGCCCCACCAACTTTTCCAGATTCTGTATTCCTCAAAGCACAGGGTAAGTCCCATAGTGGGGGGAATGATCTTCAGAGGTGCTGGGGATGGAGTTAAGTCACACTGCCTCACTTGCCTGCTGAGAAAGTGACTCCTTGTTCAGCTCTAAGAGCCTCTATCAAGGACAAAGTCTGGGTTTGGTGTGAGCCTGTCTTTAACACCTCTCTAGGGCTCATTGCCCTCCCTTGTTTAGCACAGAGGGAGAGCTGGCCCCAGCCTTCTTGCCTTCCACCGGCAACCAGCTCTTGCTCAGATTTCATCACATTGTTTTGTTTTTGTGGCATTTATTTTAACAGTTGTCTTCTATTTATGGCAAGTGATATTGGCTTTCCATTTATGGCAGTGATAAAAAAGCTTCCTCTTACATTTCATTTCTTTAAGTTTTTTTTAAACGGGGTTGATGGAAAGAAAAATATTAAATAGCACAAGTGAGGCACAGTTACGACCAAAATTGTGAAGGTGGGATGTGAATGACAGGCGATGGGGAAATAGTCACTGCACAAACATGGGGTGCCAGTGGTGTGGCAGCCACGGTGCTGGGGGCGAGGCCAGCAGGGAACCCAGCAGACAAAGCCCTGCCTTTGTGGAGCTTACAGTCCAGCAGGGGTGGGTAGGGGGAGATGTTACCAAAATAAATCAAATGCGTGGTGTGACCAATGGTGGCGAGTGATTTGAAGGACGGGGAGGTAGGGAAGGGAGGGCACCGGCTGCCATGGGCGCTGCCTCGCAAACACTGGCTCATGCTCTGAAAGCGTGGCCGCGAGCACAGGCTGGGAGGAGGCGAGGCTGCAGCTTCACAGCTATCCTGGCACCATGCAAAAGGATCTAGTGGTGTCGCCATCCCTCCTGGTTGAGGCTGGCTTTGGAGACTCCCGCTGGTCAAGATTACACGCCGCAGGAAACCTCACATCAAGGCACTAGCCTCCTTTCTTCCAAACAAAAAAGCAGAGGACCGTCTGCGGAGACAAGCGCTGTTGCCTGGAAAGCAGCCCCCAGGGCACGGCGTGGGGTCACACAGCTTTGTCGGTGCTCCACGCTGTGCACAGGTGTGGGCCCGCTCCATGAGATCGGGACTCAGCGGTGACAGTGCCCCTTGGGGCTCTGAAATCATCACCTTCTGAGTCATCAAAGTGGCATTGACTTACAGTCAACAGTGCGTGGTGCTAAGTGCACTTTATTATTCCAATTCTTTGAAAATTGGTCATCTCTCTGTGGTCCATCTATGGCCTGGTAGGGTAGCAAAGCCAGGAGTCTGAATCGTGGCTCCCCTGCTTTCAAGCTGCCTGATTCTGGGCAGGTTCTTATTCTTCTGAGTTTTCATTTTCTTGTAACTAAAACGGGGGTAGCCCATTGAATGTGGTCACATGGGGGCTCCTGGCAGCCAGTCAATAAATGTCATCCTGTTTCTCTAGATACCAGACTATGAGTTACCCAGAACCCTATCTCCCTTCCACCAATGGGAGCTGGCAGGAGGAGGAGATGGACAGGAAACTTGGAAAACTCATTCATTCATTCATTCATTCATTCAACAAGAAAGTATGACTCCACCCCAGGCACTATTCCAGTCACTGGCAGTACAGAAGAGAGCAAAGACAGGTAAGGTCTCTGATCTTATAGGAACATGTCATGAAAGCAAGACATGAGATTTCAGCTAGCGACAGGGTCTGTGACGAATGTTTGGGGAAGCCAGCTCAGACTGGGTGTCCAGGAAGGCTTTGCAGAAGAGGTAACACTGAAAGACAAAGGGCGAGCTTTGTGAAGGTTTGGAGGTGGGGAGAACATTCTAGGCAGAAGGAAGAGCAAAGCAAAGTCCTCAAGGCCTCTGAGAGCCAGAAAGAAAGCCAGCTCCCCTGGAGAACATGGGTGCTGGTGGGTGGGGAGTCAGACCCTGTGGGACTCAGGAAGGGGAGAGGCCTGGGTGGCTCTGTGGAGTGGGCTGTGTGGCAAGACCTGCAGTTCTTGTTCTGTGCCAGGGGCCATTTGACAGCATCTTCAGAAACCCCCACATCATCTAGACCCTGGGCTTCCCACCCGCCAGGCCAGGCTCTTCCTGCTAGTCCATGCTGCCTCCTGGGGCTGCCAGTTCTTCAACCAGGCCCACGGGGCACCCACTTGCTGGCTGAATTTCTCCCCCTGCATCCCAGTTCTCCTCCAAGTTGGAAGAAGTCTTTGTGGTTTGGATGAAGGAAGGGATGAGGAGGAGGGGGACAGAGCAAAGTGTGTTTGCTGGCACCAGAATCACAGCAGAAGCCAGTGCTGGAAACCTTCCCAAGTATTTAGAAATTAAAATAATAAAAGAAAACTGAGCATATGGAGTTTGTAAAGTGCTGTCCATCTTCAAGAAGGGATACAGCTTACTCAGAGTGCATGGGAGAGCAGGTCGGAGTGAACGTGTCTGTGGGGTAGGGGCGAACACTCAGGCTCTCGGGTAGGATGAGGGTCCCCAGGCTAGGCTAGCCCAAGAGGCAGGAGGAGTGTGGGAATTCCCTTTAAGCTGCACTTTTAAAGAAGGAGAAAGAATATCCTCTATGGCCCCTCCCTAACTTCACAGGCGTCCCCAGTCCTTCCCAGCCCAGGGAACGCCAACTCCCCAGCTCGACTCTGAACCAATCTTCAGTTCTTTCTCTCCACATCCAAATTCTCAGCCCAAATGCCACCTCTTCAAAGAAGCCCTCTCTGGCCACCTCATCTGGAAGGCCACCCCTCCAGGTACTTTTTCATCACTCTGTGTATTTCTGCACGAACCTATCACTATCTAAAATGACCACGGCCCAGTGTGGTAGCTCACGCCTATAATCCCAGCACTTTGAGAGGCCGAGGCGGGAGGATCATGAGGTCAGGAGTTCGAGACCAGCCTGGCCAACATGATGAAACCCCGTCTCTACTAAAAATACAAAAATTAGACGGGCATGGTGGCACATGTCTGTAATCTCAGGTACTCGAGTGGCTAGCCAACCTGGTAAAACCCCATCTCTACTAAAAATACAAAAATAGGCTGGGCATGGTGGCGGGCACCTGCTACTGGGGAGGCTGAGGCAGGAGAATTGCTTGAACCCGGGAGGTGGAGGTTGCAGTGAGCCGAGATCATGCCACTGCACTCCAGCCTGGGTGACAGAGTGAGACTCCGTCTTAAATAAAATAAAATAAAATAAAATAAAATAAAATAAAATAAAATAAAATAAAATAAAATAAAAATAAAAAGAACCTTGTTCATTGGTTGACTTGTCCCTCCACCATGTAAGCATCGTGAGCTTGGACCTTGCCTGTCCTCTTTCCTGCTACGTCTTCTACACCTGGAACAGGGCTTGGCCCAGGCTAAACCCTTCACAGACACCTACCAAGTGGGGACCGAGTGAATTCCAGAGCCGGTTCATTTGAGTGTTCAGGTAGCACCATGCACAAGCCTGTGATTGCTGAGTGGCAAACAGCACCTCACGCATGGGCAGTATTCATGGGGCTGTGGCAGAGCCCACATGGTCATGATTTGGGGCACTGCTGAGCAAACCAGCCCCCAGCCGAGCCACCAGGTGCTGCAGCAGGTGTTGGGGGCTGCCCATTCTGACAGAGCTGCCAGGCAAGAAACTTCAACCTGCTACTCCTGGAGCTGGGAGCCCACCTGGGAGCTCCAGGTGCCTCCTTCCACCCCAGGTGCTCAAGTGTTCCCTGTGCCAGGAAGCCCACCTGGCACAAGCTGGAGGGTAGGCTGGCTGGAAGGCAGGGGCAACAGGGCAAAAGGAGAAGGCAGGTGCCTTGTGGGCCCTCCCAGGTAGGAAACCTGGCCGGCCCGAGGTCCCTGAGGGTTCTGGAGGTCTCTTGAGTGCAGAGCTGGCTCTGTGGGTACACAAGGACATGTGTCGGGGAAGCCGGGAGGAGCTGCCCTGGGGATGGCCAGGCCTGGGGATGACAGGGTCCCCTCCTTGCAGCCCCTCCCCTCCTCTCCTTCTGCCTCCCCTCCGTCTGGCTGCTCCTCTCCCGCTCTGCTGCATGCTGGCCTCCGCAAGATGGATTTTCCTGGCTGTGCCAATCTTGCTGCCACCTGTTCGCGCTGTGCTGGAGCCAGCAAAGTGGCTCAGCTTCAAACCCAGGGCAGCTGGGAGAACGGTGGCCAAGCCTCGTCGCCCCCCTTGCTCCCTTCCTTTGTTGCAGCGGCAGCAGCTCGGCCGAGCCATCCTGTCACCTGCTGTCAGCTGGGCAGCCCCTGCTCTTCCCCACCAACCCTCCTGCAGACCCTTCAATCCCTCCCCAGGCCTAGCCCTTCGTGGCCACGTTGCAGGGTGGGGCCCAGGCAGGCACTTCACAGCAGCCCTCAGCACCCCACCCTCCGTCCCTGGCCCAGACTGAATCCCCTTCCCTCTCCCCCACTCCCCAAGGGATTCCCCCACTTACAGGAGCCTTCCCCAGGAAATTTAGATGGAAAGTTGAGGAACCAGGGGCCTAAGAGAACCAGGAAGTGACCAGCTCAGCCTGCTGAGCCCACGACAGGGCAGGGTGGCATGGGACACCTCCAGGTAGTGCAACCTCCGAACCTCCGGGAGAGGGAGGGCTCTGGAAACTCCCTGCACCAGCAACCCAACCCGCGCCCGAGGCTGGAGTCCAGCCCTGCCCCTCACACACGTTGGCTCCACCCCGGTTTCCTCAGCTGCCAATGGGCTGAGTCTGTGCCTGTGCACCCCACAATGTCACTGTGAAGAACAAACAGAGGGTTAGTGCCTTAAACTCCTTCAAGAACAAGGCAAGGATATAATTAAACATGTGCGTGGGATAGAGAAATGCAAACTGTAAAGGGCTGTGCAGCTGAGGAGCTGTTTTTGCTTTTCTCAGTGGCGTCGAGGCCCCAGGGGCCAAAGGCTGTGCATGCCGCTCTCAGGGAGAAGATGCGGGCTTGTGCCTGTCTTCAGCAACACTGGCTCCAGCTGAGGGGGCATCTGACAGCAGAGAGACAGGCACATCAGAAGATAGAGCGAGACACAGGCAGACAGACAATAAACACAGATAAAATAGCCTGTGAGGCCGATGGCTCTCCTGATGGAAGCAGACAGGCAGCGGAGGTGGTGGCAGGGTTCCAGTAGCCTGGGGCCTTTCTCTCCTCCACCAGGATCCTTCCCAGGGAAGGATCTATCCCTTCCCTTCCTCCTGCCCTCAGTCATCTGCTCCTGCTCACGAGCCCATGGGCACACAGGTACAGTGTCCACTCATGCTCACAACAGTGCCTCTTGCAGTTATGGAGGGGGCTGGGTATTGGGGGTTGGACTCTCCAAATTCCAGAGACGCTACTGAGGAGGGACCTGGTCCTTGGCATTAGGGGAAAAGATCTTCCCCTGGGGCAGATCCCTTGGAGCCTGAAGAAGTGCGCCTTTGTGGATGAACATAATAGAAAATAGGAGGCCATTTCCATGGGGCGCTAATCCCCTGGCTGAACTTTGTCAAGATGCATCCTTCCCCAGGTGCCCAGAGCTGAACGCGGGAGTCTGCAGATGAGAAGAGAGCTCGGGGCTCAACAGGATCCGACTGGGAGGGCTGGAGTGGGCTGGGCGCACCCTGCTTCCTCTGTCCCCACCACATGTCCTCCCGCAGCCACCAGACTGCTGTTTCTTGAGTGAGCTTTATAGTGTCCCTCCCCTGTTTATCGACGCCCCCAACCCCTGGCTTCCCACTACACATATAATAAGGCCCAAATTTATAAATGTACCCAGGGCTGCCCCTGCCAACCCCTCCCTGCGTCCCGGCCCTCCTTCCCCAGCAGCCTTGTTCCTCCAGCCCAGTCCCCCACAGGGCCTTTGCACGGCTGTGCTCTCTGCCTGGGAAACTCAGTAGCCAGTTGTTGCCTTGGGCACCTTCTCATCACTCAGGTCTCAGAGGAGAGGCCTTCCGTCATCTCACTCAGCACCCTCTCCCTCCTCTGGTCATCATCACATCTCTTGAGTTTTGTCCATTTGTGTTTCCTCATAGCAGGTATCCCTGCCTGAAAATATCTCCTTCCTGTGTTTGTCATCTGTCTCCACCCTGCAGAATGCAAGTGCTGGTCCCGTTCAGTGCCGTGTCCCCATGTGCTGGAGCACAGCCGTCCACACAATAGGCATTTAATAGGCAGGAGGGTCTGGCTTCCAAGAACCCCAGGCTGAAGGGGACAGCAGCCAGGAAAAAGAAGCCAGACAGGCCGGTCCTAGGCCTCGGTGGGCAAAGGGAGGGGCATAGAGGCCTGGCTCATGACAGCAAAGAAGTTCCCTGGGGGAGATCCTGTGTGCGGCACACTGGTCCTCCAGGAGGGGAATGACTGAAGGCTGGGGTCCAAGTCCTTGCTCTGCTCCTGACAACTCAATCTTCTGGCCTCACTGCCCCGCTCTGTGGAATGGGGATAAAAATGGCTACTTCTGGCCAGGGGCAGTGGCTCATGCCTGTAATCCCAGCACTTTGGGAGGCCAAGGTGGGCGGATCCCCTGAGATCAGGAGTTCAAGACCAGCCTGGCCAACATGGTGAAATGCTGTCTCTACTAAAAATCCACACACACAAAAAAATAGCCAGACGTGGTGGCACACGCCTGTAATTCCAGCTACTCGAGAGGCTGAGGCAGGAGAATCACTTGAATTCGGGGGCAGAGGTTGCAGTATGCTGAGATCGCACTACCACGCTCCAGCCTGGGCAACAGAGTAAGACTCCGTCTCAAAAAAAAAAAAAAGTGCCTACTTCCCAGAGTTGCTCTAAGAACTGAATCAAGCCCTGTGTGTGAGAGTCTGTTTATAAACATTTAAGGGTTGTACAAATGTGTATTTATTGGTAAGGGCCCAATTGGGCTGCAAGGGTCAGAAATCCATCTCAAACTAGCTCAAACTCAAAGGGGAATTCAGGGGCTCTTGTCATCGAAGAGTCCCTAGGGTGAGAGAAGTTTGGCTTCAGGTATGGCCAGATCTGGGTGCTCCAACAGAACAAGTCTCTCCTTCCTTATCTCCTTGTCAGCCCTCCTCTGTGGGGGCTCCCTGCTTAGGCAGGCTTTTACCAGTTGCTGGCCATCAGCCCTTCCGGCCCCTACCCTGCCATGTGGCCCATCCCACCTGAAAGGGAGCATCTTCTATGTAAGCCCAGGCTTCAGCCTCAGGATTGGTTCTCACTGGTACAAATGGAGGACTCAATTTGAACCAACCTCTGTGGAAGCCAGGATGTTGGGAAACTCTGATTGGCCACCCTGGAGCCAGGACTACAGTGGCTTCATCTGAGCCACAGAGACTGTGCATGGAGGTGGTGGTGCAGGTTCTTCAAAGGAAGATGGGAGCACCACTACCCAAAGAGGGGGTCTGGGACCCTGGCTGGCAGACAACGGATGTTCACCGCCAGACAAATGGCATTCTCAGCCTTCCGACTGGCCCTGCGAGCAGAGCACTCGAAGGTCCCAGGTCCCTGGAGGCTCCACTCTGGGGCTGCCCTGCAGGTGGTCAGAGGAGTCCACTTCCCTGGGAGAGTATTGAAAGGAGCATCTGTGAGAATGAAACAGAATTGTTCACGAATGTGATTTGTAAACGTTGAAAACACCCTTCAAATGTTAGAGATTATCCTTAGTGTTGTTGTAGAACAGGAAAGGGGCGAGGCACTACAGGATTTTGGAACTGAAACGGGCTTAAAAATGATTGGCTGCCACCCTAAACCCCCCCCTTTTTTACCCAGTCATCTTACGTGGCAGCCAGAAGAATGTATTTCGGCTGCAGATCACATCCTGTCACTCCCTCCTGAACCCTCCGCTGGCTTCACTTTGCTCTTGCAATATTCTAGATTCTCCTTGCTCCAGGGCTCTGGGGGTTGGGTCCCTGCCCACCTCTCGGACTCCAACCCCTACTTATGTCCTCCGGCCACACCCTGTGGCTCCAGCTGCATTGCCTGTCCTTGGGGTCTGGAAACACATCCAGCTCATTTCCCCCCAGGATGCTTTGCACTTGCTGATCCCTCTGTCCACAACACTTTTCCTCCAGGTCTTCCCTACGGCTGCTGCCACTTTCTCTTCAATCAGGTCTCTGCTGAAATGGCACCTTCTCAGAGACCCTCCCTGGCCACACTTCCATAGAGATGCACTCCACTCCTCCTCTCTGCCCCTCTCTCTCACTTTGCCCACTTTATATTCTGCAGCCTCTGGAATTATCTTGTTGTTCTATTTGTTTGCTTACTTATTGTCAGTCTCTCTCCCACCTGCTACCCCCCACTGGAGTACTTGGCTCCAAAAACACAAAGTCTTCCACATAGCTCAAGGCCTGACATAGAGCAGGGGGGTCAATAAATACCTGTTGAATGAATGACTATCTGATGGACAGATGGGTGGGTGAGGGTGAGCGGGCTGTGCTCAGATGCTGATATGACTTGCCCAAGGCCACACAGCTGGCACCAGCAACCAGGTGGGATGAGCCCATGCCCTGTCCGGTCCTGCCTTCACTCTCTAATCTATTTCATGCCCCTTTAAAAAATAATAATAAACATGTGTCCTGTTATTCCCTTTAGATTGGGAACTGGTGTGGAGCTCTGGTAGCTAAAGACCCTCCAGACTCCCACGTCCCACCAGCTCACACCCTGTGGCCTCGGGGCCACCTGCTCTAGCTGCTGGATGCGCCCGACTTCAAAGCCCATTAAGTGGATCATTACGAGGTTAATAAAACCCGTTCCCCTACACCCGCACACGTCCGCCCTCGCCTGCGGCTGCTGCCCATCAGCTGGGTCTGCTCTCACTGTTGCCAGGAGCTGAGAGAGAGCGGGGCGGCCGTGCAGGTGAGCAGCCCCCAGGGAGCAGTTGTCACTCAGGCCCTGTCCCTCCAGGCTGTCCTTTGAGGTGGGAAGTGGGAGGTGGCCTGTCTCTTTGAAGACCCTGCACCTGAGCCAGACCCTGTTGGGGGCCTGTGAGGCTGGCAGGAGGCGGCCGCTACAGTGGGGCTGAGGCAGCCTCGCACACAGAGAGCTGTCCTCTGTGAGCTGCGGTGTCTCCGCGATGGAGGAGGGAAGGGGCCTGCTGTCACCCTGACCCACTCCAGGCACAGGGGGAATAGGGGCTGGGGCAGTGTTTGGGCAGTGGCGGCAAGCCTGGGGTGGGGCAGGGTGGACCCCTGGGGCTGAGGGTCCACTTTCAGGGGGTGCCCTGATACAGGTTCCAAGACGTTCCCGGCGTGGGGTCCTGAGGGCGGGGAAGGCTCCTCTCTTCATCCAGAAAAATTCCATCTCGATGAAATGTACCTGAAGAAAACATCAGCTCATCATGTGGTTAGTGAGGGGGAAAGACACACCGCTGAAGGAAGCATACAGCAAGAGACCAGATAGTAAAAAATCTAGTGACTGATGCCAACATATAGACCTGCACCCATGGAGGGAAAGGCCCAGGAGGCCGTGCAGCAGACTCCGCCAGCGGCTTTCTCCCTGGAAAAACCAAGGATGTGAGGCGGGGTGATGTGCAGTCTTTTTTAAAAACACAAAATAATGTATTCATGTTTTATATGTAGGATTAAAAATTAATTTTTAAAGATATTCACCAAGGATATAATTTAGAGTGCGAGGGTCAGAGCTCCCCTTGAAGGAAGGGAAAGGAGAGTGAGGAAAGGACAGGAGAGGGTCCCGGCCGCGGGCGAGACCCCCGGGGTGCTGAGCCACTGCCCTGGGCCTGGTGCCTGGGGGACAAACCTGTGGTGCCGCCTGTCACCGCGGCGCCTTCTCTGGGATTGGACACCCCCAGCTATCTCCCCGGCTTGACCTCGCTTGAAGCTCCCTCCAAGATCCCACCCTGAAGTGGCTGAGGTGGGCCCAGGAATTGGTTCCAGGACTCGGGGAGCCGCGCGGGGCAGGAGCCAGGCCCACAGACAGCAAGCAGCGTTCTGCTTGGCTGATCCACGATGTCGGGGCTGCGGCATCTCCGCTTCCGCCCGGAGAGTGACGGCGTCCGCAAGCTCATGCGAGGGGGGTTATTTTACTAACCAGATAGATTAAGCATCTCTCCTTCTAATTACCGGTTTAATTAACCTTGGCACACAGTATGTACCAGACCCGAGGGACAGAGTCAGAATGGCTGCTCTGGGTGAACATCGCCCATCTGCTCTGCGCTAGGCTCCAGCGGACTCTCAAGGGGCCAGGGCAGCAGACATTGAGGGCCAGGAGTCTGGTGGCACCAGGAAGGAGCGGAGGAAAATGTGGGCAGGGATTGTCGGAAACCTCACAAGAGAGTCTTGCCATGGGCGCCGGATTCCAACAAGGCTGCCTCTTCAGCAGCCCTCCTGCAACGACCTGAGCAGGGCTGACCCCACCTCAGAGAAGGCAGAGCCCGGGCCACCCTGCTTGGGTCTCCCAGGGGTCCGCAGGGTAGCCAGTGTGCCCTGTGCAAGCCTGGGAGGTAGAAGACGTGGATGGCGATGGTGGAGGTGCTGCTTCAAATTCTCCAAGCCTCAGTCTCCTCATCTGTAAAATGAGCAGGATGGTATCTAAGTCACAGGGCAATTTATGAGGTTTAATGAAGAGAACAGAAACTGAGATACTTAAATTACATTCGTCTGTTCATTCACTCGTTCAGCACATATTCCTGGAGTGTGCACTGTGTTGGCAAAAGTAAGGAATACGATGGTGAACAGGGAGAATTGAAAGACTGAGTGCTCTGGGAATTGACAATGTCTGCCTAAGGACCCCAGAGTCATAGCACATGTGTGCACACACACACGAGCACACACACGAGCACGCACACACAAGCACACATACACACGAGCACACACAGATACATATGCATGCACACACACGAGCGCACACACAAGCACACATACACATGAGCATGCACACACATACACATGAGCACACACACACGAGCACACACACATACAATGAGCATACACACACAACACACACACACTGCTTCTTCCTGAGCTGTTGCCCGTGACACGCACACTCAGCACACACTTAGAAGATCCCTGCACGCACACACCTGCATGGAGACGTGTGTCTCCTTCACAGCCATGAACAGCACACACACTCATCTCAAAAACAACTCTACACCCACACGCATGCACGGGTGGCCATGTGTGAAGACGGCTGTGTGGCTCCTCTATTCTCAAGAAACATAAGGCCAAGATGTCACATTAATAAAAAACATGGTGTCCTGGTAAAGGTATATTTGTTTATTTAAAAGCTTATTAAAATCTTAACCTAGTCTCCTCTTCACTAATGCAGTGTTACTGGAGTCTCTTGATGATTGTGTGGGAGGGTGAAGAAGAGAGTGTGTGTGTTTGCATATGTGTGAGAGAGACTTTCTATTCATTTGTGTGTGGGGTGTGCTAGTGCGTGGGCTGTGTCCAGGTGTGGCCTGTGTGTGTGTGTGTGCCTGGGAGCATGTGTATCCCCGCATGTGTGTGTACATGTCCAGGTGTGTGTGTGTGTATATGTGTGTGCACGCACGTATGACCCTGGGTGTGTTTGCGTGTGTGAATGTGTGTGTGTTCATGTTGGGTGTGGGGTGTGTGTGTGTCCAGATGTGACTTGTGTGTGCGTGTATGCATTCAGTCTGGGTGTGGGATGTGTATATCTGTGTGTGCATTTCTGGGTGTAGGGTGTGTGTATGTGCGTTCAGTCCAGGTGTGGGGTGCATGTATATGTGTGTGTGCATGTCTGGGTGTGGGGTGTGTGTGGGACTGTGTGAATGCCTTGGTGTGGAGTATGTGTATTTGTGTGTGCATGCACGTCTGGGTGTAGGGTGTGTGTGTATGTGTTCAGTCCAGGTGTGGGGTGCATGTATATGTGTGAGTGCATGTCTGGGTGTGGGGTGTGTGTGTGTATGCCTTGGTGTGGAATATGTGTATGTGTATGTGTGTGTCTGGGTGTGGGGTGTGTGTGTATGTGACTGTGTGAATGCCTTGGTGTGGAGTGTATTTGTGTGTGCATGTCTGGATGTGGGCTGCATGTATATGTGTGTGTGTTGGCTGTGTTTCTGTGTGTGTGCACATCCAGGTGTGGGCTGTGTATATGTGTGTGTGTGTGGCCTGTGTTTGTGTGTGTGCACATCCAGGTGTGGGCTGTGTGTTTCTGTGTGTGTGCACATCCAGATGTGGGTTGTGTATATGTGTGTGTGTGTTGCCTGTGTTTGTGTGTGTGCACATCCAGGTGTGGGCTGTGTGTATGTGTGTGTGCACATCCAGGTGTGGGCTGTGTGTGTGTGTGTGTGTGTGTGTGTTGCCTGTGTTTCTGTGTGTGCACATCCAGGTGTGGGCTGTGTATATGTGTGTGTGTTGCCTGTGTTTGTGTGTGTGCACATCCAGGTGTGGGCTGTGTGTATGTGTGTGTGTGTTGCCTGTGTTTGTGTGTGTGCACATCCAGGTGTGGGCTGTGTATATGTGTGTGTTTGTTGCCTGTGTTTGTGTGTGTGCACATCCAGGTGTGGGCTGTGTGTTTCTGTGTGTGCACATCCAGGTGTGGGCTGTGTATATGTGTGTGTGTTGCCTGTGTTTGTGTGTGTGCACATCCAGGTGTGGGCTGTGTGTATGTGTGTGTGCACATCCAGGTGTGGGCTGTGTGTGTGTGTGTGTGTGTGTTGCCTGTGTTTCTGTGTGTGCACATCCAGGTGTGGGCTGTGTATATGTGTGTGTGTTGCCTGTGTTTCTGTGTGTGCACATCCAGGTGTGGGCTGTGTGTTTCTGTGTGTGTGCACATCCAGATGTGGGCTGTGTATATGTGTGTGTGTGTGTTGTCTGTGTTTGTGTGTGTGCACATCCAGGTGTGGGCTGTGTGTATGTGTGTGTGTGTGTTGCCTGTGTTTCTGTGTGTGCACATCCAGGTGTGGGCTGTGTATATGTGTGTGTGTTGCCTGTGTTTCTGTGTGTGCACATCCAGGTGTGGGCTGTGTGTTTCTGTGTGTGTGCACATCCAGATGTGGGCTGTGTATATGTGTGTGTTTGTGTTGCCTGTGTTTGTGTGTGTGCACATCCAGGTGTGGGCTGTGTGTGTGTGTGTTGCCTGTGTTTCTGTGTGTGCACATCCAGGTGTGGAGTATTCGTTGTGCTCTTGTGCTTCTCAGGCCCTTTGAGTAGTAAGAGGTGCTTCTCAGCCTGTTTTCTACCATCGCCCCCGTAAGGAGCCTTTGTAGACTTTCCATCCCTGGTAGCCTACCTGAAATGTTAAGACCACAAATATGCTGTATATCTGGTTACGCACTGTATGTGCGTGTGTGTATATGTGTGTGTATATCTGTGCTTTAGAGACACAGAATTTTTTTTACCTGCCCTGGAATAACCAGCTTCTACCCTGCTCCTGGAGAAAGGAGACCCTCCCACAGACTGTTGAGAGTCCCTGCTGGGGAGCAAGGGTTTCTTTGTCTGGCCTCAGGGGTGTGACCACTCTCCTCCCACTCCTGGCCCATGTTGTGTGCAGTGGTTCCCAGTCTTTAGGGCCCAGCTGGAAATCTCTTAAAACACAGCTGTCTGGGCCCCACCTAAAGATCCTGTCAGTAGACCTGAAGAGGGGTCTGACCTCGGGGTTTCAGCAAGCTCCGAGGGGGTTCTGATACCCTGCCTGAAGTGGGGATCTGGGGCTGAAGGGGGTTTTGAATCATCGAGCAGTCATCTAGTCTGAGGGAAGAGGGTCCGCCTAGAGACCTGACCTGGTTCTAGAGAACTCAAGACCCAGCTGGCCAGTCCTCCCTATGCCAGCACTACCCCAGGGCTGCCCAAAGGTGGCTTGCGAGAGGCTGGTGGCTGGACCAGAACCCTTCCCACTGACTTAGAGCATGGAGGATGCAGTATGAGGGTGTGTTCTCAGGACCACGGTCATGCAGCGGGTGTCTGGGACAAACACTGCCCCAGAATGTCTGGAGTCCCATTTTCCACCTGTTTGATAAAGCCGCAGATGCCCCACACACAAACCTGGGCCTCCCTTCTGTGGGTCCCAACCTTCTCCAATAGACTGGAGCTCCCATACCAATCCCAGGGTGGGTCTGGTAAGCAAGGCAGAGGTAAACTTCTGCCTCCTCTCCCAGCTCTCGGTTCACTGAGTCAAAGCTTATCTCTGTCCTGCCTACTAGACCCACCCTGGGATTGGTATGGGAGCTCCAATCCCCATTGGAACCCCATCTGGAAGTTGCCAGAGACCTGGTAGCAAAATCAATCAAAACCAGAGAACCCCTACCTGGCCCAGCTTTCTTTGGATGCCAAAGAAAGCTGTGTCTCTTTGGAGGGCTGGGCCAGTGCCAAGCCCCAGTGCTGGGTGTCTGAGCGATCAGAACACAGGGGGCCAATTGATGCGGTGTGGGCAGAGCTCCAGCATGAGGCCGCAGGGGAGATGGGAGCCTGGAAGAGGGAGGGAGGGGCTGTGTGGTGGCCATGGAGCAGGGTAGAAGTGGCTCTGAGGCCGTGAGAGCACGAGAGAAGACCAGACAAGGGTGGATGAATGATGGAGATGGGCACAGAGATGGAGAAGAGTGGGGGTGGGGGATGCTGCGGTCTGGTGGGGAAGCAAGAAAGGCAGGCTTCTCCTTCTCTTAAGCTTTTAAAGGCATCAGAGCATCTTGCTAATTGTTCATCTCCCAGAGACGCTAATGAAATTAACTCTGCAAAATACTCATCAGGTCATCTGCAAAGGGCACGGTGCCAGGCTTCCACTTGGTCCAATCCCGTCCTTCTCCTCCTCCGCTCCTCCTGCCCCTTCCTGACAATCCTCCGCCCCCTCCTTTTCACATAGGCCCCTCAGCAGGGAACTGCTTACCTCCCAACCTGCCTGAGAGTGCCCAGCAGGAAAACTCGAAAAGGGGACTGTGTAGCCAGGGAGACCTCAGAGACAGATGTCACGGAGTTCACGGAGCTGGGAAAGGTTGTTTCTGGGTGTATGCGTGTGTGTGCGTGTGTGTGTGTGTGCGCGTGTGCGTGTGTGCGTGTGCGTGCATGTGTGTGTGCGCGCGTGTGTGTGTAACACATGCATCATAGGAGGATGTGTCTCTAATAAAACCATTTAGACTGAACATTCTTTCAATCACTCAGTAAACATTTCTGGAGCAGCTTCTAGGTTTAAATCCTTGTTCCATCTCTTACCAGCTGAGTGGCTTTTAGCAAGTTACAACCCCTCTCTGTGCCACAGTTTTTGTGTCTACATAATGGGTACAATAATCACATCTACTGCATAACGGGCTGTGAGAATTGAAGGAGATAAACCAGGTACAGAGTTTAGTCCTGTCCTGGGCACCTGGAGAGTTCTCAAGAAATGCTGGGTGCTGTCCTTGGTCCTGGAGGCTCCAAGGCAGTGACATCCCAGTTCTTGCGCCGAGGCACGGCCAGACCAGCCTTAAGGCCCAGGCATGAAGTGCTCAGTAGAACGGGGCAGCATGGAGAATGGGCATGTGAACAGTGTGTGCAGGAATGGAGTGGGGAGATATGGAAGTGTCTGTACATGTATGTAACTGCGAGGAACATGAGTGCCTGTACTGCGTGTCATCAGTTACCCAGTATGCACATGTGTGAGCTAGGTGTGGGAAGTGCATTTGTGTTGTGTTCGCTGTGGAGACTGAGCAGGTGCTGGCTTGCTGTGTGTGTGTGTTAGATTCAGAGCATAGGTGAGTGTTGGGGTTTGTGTGCAGAGGGGACAGGTCCAGATGTTGCCAGGGGTCCTTTGAAGGGGCTTATTTTTAGTTCTATCTCCTGTCTTATCCCTCACAAAGTAATCATTTCTTTTATGATCTGGCTCTCATTCCACCCCAGCTTACAACTGGGAGGACATTTGTATCTTCCCCAACATGCTGCAGGTTCCCCCGGTGGGTATCATTGAGCCTTACAAATAGTAGTCAGTCATAAATGCTCACCCTGTAGATTCTTAATAAAGGATAATTCTATATTATTTTTCTTTTTTCTTTCCCTTTTTTAGAGATAGCATCTTGTTCTGTCACCCAGGATAGTGTGCAGTGGCCTTATCATATCTCATTGCAGCCTCAAACTCCTAGGCTTGACCAGTCCTCCCCACTCAGACTTCCAAGTAGCTAGAAAACAGGCATATGCCACCATGCCTAGATCATTTAGAAAAATGTTTTAATACACAGGGTCTCTCTATGTTGCCCAAGCTGGCCTTGAACTCAGGGCCTCCAGCAATCCTCCCCCTTCAGCCTCCCAAAATGTTGTGATTACAGATGTGAGCTACAGCACCCAGCCCTGTATTTTGTTTTCAAATATAAATGACAAAAACCGCAAATGGGCTTAAACAGCTCAAAAGGGAATGCGTTGGCTGATCTAACTGAAGAATTCAGGGGTTTCAGCAGCCTCAGAAGCAGCTGAATCTGAGGGCTTGAACAATGAACTAGGATTCTGCAACCCTCTCTTCTCCAGGCTCTGCTCCTCTCCACCCCAGCTTCAATCTCAGGCATGCCCTTTTATTGTGGCAGTGCTGTCAAGATCAGGTCATTTCTTTGCAGCTTCAAGTACAGCAAGAAAAGAAATTCTTTCTCTCCTTAGTTCCAACAAAAGTCCCAGAAATGAGCCTCAATGGCCTGGCTTGGGTCATATGCCCATCTCTGAACCAATCATTGTGTTTCAGGGAATAGTGGATGCTGATTGGCCGGGCCTGGGCATTTGTTGTCTTTTGGAATTGGAGGGGGATAGTCCGACCTGAATCTTGTGTGCTGATGGTGGGGAGGGGTGATCCTTCCAAGGAAAGACAGAAGCTGGATGCTGAGCAGTGGGCAGATGTGAACACTTGGACCATAGCACGGACCATAAAGAGCCAATGTCTTGGCCAGGTGTGGTGGCTCATGCCTGTGATCCCAACACTTTGGGAGGCCGAGGCAGGCAGATGACTTGAGCTTAGGAGTTTAAGACCAGCCTGGGCAACATGGTGAAACCCCTTCTCTACCAAAAAAAAAAAAAAATGCTGGGCATGGTGACAAGGGCCTGTAGTTCCAGCTACTTGGGAGACTGAGGTGGGATCACTTGAGCCTGGGAGGCAGAGGTTGCAGTAAGCCAAGACAGTGCCACTGCACTCCAGCCTGGGTGACAGAGCCAGACCCAATCTCAAAAAGAAAGAAAGAAAGAAAGAAAGAAAGAAAGAAAGAAAGAAAGAAAGAAAGAAAGAAAGAAAGAAAGAAAGAAAGAAGGAAGGAAGGAAGGAAGGAAGGAAGGAAGGAAGGAAGGAGGAAGGAAGGAAGGAAGGAAGGAAGGAAGGAAGGAAAGAAGGAAAGAAAGAAAGAAAGAAAGAAAGAGAGAGAGAGAAAATCCAATGTCTTGCTTAAGGGTCTCCAAGAGCATGTCCTGCTTGCTGAACTAATTTCCTGATCAATTGGGTTATTTGTCTGGTAGATTGGAGCAAACCTGGAAGCTCATGATTCTAGGGCTCTGCTAAGTCTTTCCATTTATTTTTGTGGGTGCAGCAGTGAGATGTGAGCTGAATGATGGTGTGGTCAGAGGCTTCCTGAGTGGACAAAGGAGCAGCTGGTTTATTGCCCTAGTGCAATATGCAAGTTGATCTCGAGTTGGGAGCCTCTGGACCCTGTCCTTGGTCCTGCCTGCAGCAACCTGTTTAGTTAGGACTTGGTTGAAAGTATATGTGACTTCCTAATGTCATCTGGGAATGACAGAAGCAGAAGAAAATAGCAAATACCCTCCCTGACAGCACCCACATCCTGAGAGGGCTCCATATGGGAAAGAGGGATTAGATGTAATACGATGGAAAATAATTGGGATGAATTTAAGTGTCTGCATTTAATTGCAGAAAACCAGCGACCTAAAGGGTAGGTGAGGAACACCCAGTTGTTGATAGTACCTAGGCAAAGACCTAGGACAATGTCCATCAAAGTGTGATCCGTCTTCAGACCACTGGCAGCAGCAGAAACATCTTGTAGGTTTTACAGGGCACAGTAAAAGCAGATTCCTAGACCCCTCCCCAGACATCCTGGATCAAAATTAGGATAGGCAGGACATGGAAATTTATACTCCAAGCAACTCATAGGAACTTCGGTGCATGTCCAAGTCAGTGATGGCCTCAGCACAGGGTCTGAGCTCCCCAGGTCCAGGGGATATTAGCAGTGCGATATCACTGACCAACAGCTGATTAGGACTCCTCTTGTGTATCAGGCCATGATGGCAGAACACCTGCCAACCCCTTCAGGAGATGCCTTCAGGAAGCAGCCTCACCACGGAACACCTACAGGGTGTCTGGGTGGCGAGACAGGGGCCCAGAGCCCTGCTGCCATGCCAGCATCTGAAGCAGAACTGTTTGCCCTGAAAATTCATGATAGACCAAGACTTCATCTTCTGAAGAAAAATTTGCCTGAGTAACAGAAGCAAAGGAGGCTGGAGCTCTCAGGAGTCCTCTTCCCATCTGGCCATCCTACCTTAGGGTCTGAGACAAACCCTTTCCTGGCAGCCCTTCACCCTGGATTCTTAAGAAGAGTTCCAGTGAGACACCTACTCCCCCTCTCTACAAGGGCACCCCTCCTCCTTCTCCTGACATGACTCTGAGCATCACTTGGAAGGGAACAGTTCAGCTGAGGCCCGGGTGACTAAAAGGAACCAGCCACGTGAAGATCTGGGGACAGAGTATTCTAGGAAGAAAGGCAAATGGGAAGGCCTGGAGGTGGGATGAGCTTGGATGCTGGAGAAACAAAGTGAGGGGTTGAGGGGCCTTATGGCTAGGGCCTAGGCAGAGTTGAAGAGGAAGGCAGGGGCCAGATTCTGCTGGGACCACAGGCTGTGCAGGCACTCATGCTACTCTCCACATATTTCAGCTCTGCCTTCCAGGCACGAGGTGGGATTATACTTCCTGGCCCTCTTGGGTGGGACTGTGGGGCCAGTTCTGGCCAATGGATTGTGACCAGACATGATCCATTGTGTCTGGGCTGAGCGATTGATGGCTGGTGGGTGCACCTCTGGAATGGCTGCTGTCAGGCTGGGTCCTCAAGTGAGGGTGACCTGGAGTCATAGACCCATGATGGACAAATGAGAAACAAACCTTTGTTGATTTAAGTCACTGAGATTTGGGGACTATTTGTTACGACATCCCCTAATCTATCCTGACTCTTACATAGACCATTCCATTCTGGCTGAAGAGAGAGGGGCAAGAAGAGAAGTGAACAAAGCAGCCAACTGAGCAGAAAAGACCCTTCCTTTCCTGTATCTCAAACCTCATTTCCCAAATTCAAATCCCAGAGTAGAAACTGTAGCAGGAGAAAAGATGAGGACACGGACGTTGAAACCAAACCTCCCAAGGATGCATCTTAGCTAACCCTGCAGTCTATTGGATAAGGTTGGCCCTGAGCAATCAGGCACTTCCTCTCCCTACGCCTCAGCTACTGCATCTGCATAATGGGAATAATAATGTTTCTTTAACAGGACTGCATGTGAGGATCAAGCCAAATTATAAATGTATGCAAGGACATAGTGGTGTCCAGCATACTTTTTTTTTTTTTTTTTTTGAGACGGAGTCTTGCTTTGTCGCCCAGGCTGGAGTGCAGTGGCATGATCTTGGCTCACTGCAACGTCCGCCTCCCAGGTTAAAGCAATTCTCCCTGGCTCAGCCTCCTGAGTATCTGGGATTACAGGTGCCCACCACCACATCTGGCTGTGTGTGTGTGTGTGTGTGTGTGTGTGTGTGTGTGTGTGTGTATTTTTAGTAGAGATGGTGTTTCGCCATGTTGGCCAGGCTGGTCTCAAACCCCTGACCTCAAGCGATCCACCCACCTCAGCCTCCCAAAGTGCTGGGATTACGGTGTGACCCACCACACCCGGCCATCCCTTTAGACAGAGCATACACTATTATAATGTCATCTTATACCCCAGCCCTCAATCCTCTTCCTTCATCCTCAGCCACCAGCCTCCAGTGCCCAATCCCCAGTGGGCCCCAAGGGCAGATCCTGCCACTGACTCTCCTCTCCCACCCACCTCTTTCCTGCAGAGGCTGAAGAGGGGTGTTATGGTGCCAACAGGAGCAGCCTGGGCACACACTGCTCCTACACACACACACACACACACACACACACACACACACGAGACATGTGAGTTGATCAGGCCCTGACACCGTGTACATTCAAACTGCCCCGAAAGCAAAGTTCCCAAACCAGAAGGTGGTGAACACTTTCCCCTGGGCTCACATGAAGTCTAAAAAATTATTTTTTACTAGTTAAAAATTTTAAATCAGAATATTTCACATACGACGGCTTCTGTTGAAAATTTGGAAGATGCGGCTATACTGTGCCCCGGTCCCCTCCCCCGACAACCAGCACCTGGAGCAGAAAAGGCAGCTGCCCCTTGAGATGGGATCCTTGTGCCTGTCCCCAGCACTGCCCTTTGCCTCCCTGGCGATGGAGCCCAGCGTCTGTATGGTTGCCTCTGGAGCTTTAGCTGGTGTTTTTTATAGTAGACTTAAGAGGAAAGCAAAACATTTTTCATAACCCTTCTCTATCAAAAGTGGGAAACAAAAGACAGACCGAGAGAGGGCCTCGTGTCTCAAGAAATATAGGAGAGCTCATATCTCTTTGTGGAAGCAAGACCATCCCTTACATCGCCTAGCCTGCAGCGCCAATTTATATTATCGACCGGCCCCGTAGGCGTTTGAGTTTGCGACCCTGCCCTCACCCTGCTCATTCCCCTCCCGACCCAGACTAGGACCCTCTCTTTTTCCGATCACTCCCCCCAGGCACACCGCACGCGGCTGTCATTTCCTTTCTCCTTCAAGGCAGCCCTCTGTTTATTTTAACCCGATTAGGGAATGGGGGTGGGGCACAGGAGACTCCAGCAGCGGTCACTGCTGGAGGCTCCAGGAGACGACGTGACTTGACCAAGGTCACAGAGCTGGAAGGTGAAGTCGCCTGGACCCTACCCCCGGTCTCCCTAGCTGCCAAAGCCCAGCTCGTTCCTTTACACCCACGTCGCGGGCGCCGTGCGCTCTCGGGGCTCAAACACCGCGCGCCCAGTCGGGTGTGCTGCGCCTGAAGGTTGTTTTCCTTCGGCGAACGGCGCCGAGGGGTTAGGGAAACCTTGGGTCATGGTGTGAGGCGCGCCCCTGGAATCCACCAGCCTGCGAGGCTGGGACTGCGGGTGTCCCCGAGTCTGGCCTGCCAGCTCTGGTGGCCAGGGCACCTCTGCGCGCGGGCCAGGGCCCCGGGGCTCTCCCGCAGTCCCCTAACCAAGCCGCGGGCTGGCAGCGTACCGCGGCGCCCGGACGACCCCGGAGCGCGGCCGCGAGGAAAGGGCGGGGGAGAGGACTGCAGCGGAACCTGCCCGGGGCACCCCTGCCCTGGGCGGCTCTCCGCAGGCTGGCGCCGCGCCGGGGTCGCCGCAGCCCCGGGCCCCTCCCGGGCCACCTGTGCGCAGACTGGCGGGCCCGCGAGAGCCCGGATCCGGAGCACCGATCCACTCCGGGTTTCAGACTCCTGCCCCTGTCCCTGGAGACCCCGCGGGGCGGTGGGAGGCCTCCACGCCCACCACCCCAAGCCCCTCCCTGGGGGAGCCTCAGGCATCGCCCAGAGGGATTCCCGGTGCTGGGGGTGGCCCGCGCGCGCTGCGCGGGGCGGCCCGGCCCCTCCTTCCTTCCCCCGCCCCTCCCAGCCGCCGCCCCGCTCCGTCGCTCCAGTCCGGGTTTTGCGGCGCCCACCGGCCCGCTCTCCGGCTGCGGGCTCCGCGGCGCGGCTGGCTCGGTGCGCGGCGCGGCTGGCGCTGCGCTCCGCCCCGGCTGCATTGCTGCGCTCCCGTGCCCAAGGGAGCCACGCGCCGCGTGCGCCCGGCAGCCGGCCGCCCGGAGGCAGCGCAGTCCGCTGGCATGGGCCCCGGGGGCGCCCCGAGCTGGGGCTCCGGGCTGAGGCGCTAAAGCCGCCCTCCCGCCCGCGGGGCCCCGCGCCCGGCCCGCCCGCCTGCCCGCCCGCGGCCATGGCCGTCCGGCCCGGCCTGTGGCCAGCGCTCCTGGGCATAGTCCTCGCCGCTTGGCTCCGCGGCTCGGGTGAGTCACGCCGCGCGCGCTCTGGGGAGGCTTGCGGGGGACCGTGCGCGCGAACGCTCGCTGCTCTGGGGGTCCCTGACCAGCGCTGCCAGACCCGGCTGGGAGCCCCCCGAGGCCAAACTTTGCGAGGCGGGACGCGGGGGGCTCTTCTTGCTGCTGCGCAGCTTCCCCGCGCGCTCTCCCGGAAGCCTGGGTTCTGCCAAGTCCAGGAGCAGCTGTCAGCCCGCGGGGCTGGCGAGTGTAGACACCCCACGCCTCCGGGTGGGGGAAGTTTGCTGGTTGCCTGGGCCCGGAGCAGGGCTGGGGGTTTGGATCAACCCCAGGGAGCCTGACTTTGAGGATTCGAAGATTAGAGGGTTTTGAGCCTATCCCAGTGCCCAGGAAATGGGGGGTGCGGGGAACGTTTAAGATACCTCTTCCCGGTAGCATCTGCCCTAAACAGCCACTCACAATCTCCCAGCTTGGCACCTGGCCTCTGCCCACGTCCAGAACACAGTGTCCTCCTCTGTCCCCGCCACACACGCTCTCACACGCACACACTCAGGCGTGGAGGCGCATACACCAGCCCCCAGTCCTTGCAGCCAGCACAGTCAAAGCGCCGCGGTCCCGGTGGCCGGGGCTGTGGCTCCTGGCCTCCCTGGTGCGGGGGGCCAGAGTTGTGTGTGGTTGGTCCGCCAGTTTCCCCTTCTTCCTTAAACTCCATAGCCTTTCTTGGCCCCTGCATGCCCCATTGGTCACCCTAACCCACTGCTAACTCAGCCCTCAGCCCACCTCATTCCCTTGGGAGGGGCTTGGGGGGAGGAAGTTCCCCTGCATCCTTTGTCTGCTGTCCCTGAGCCTTCACCTAGGCTGAGCTGTGGGGGCCTCCTGATCTCTGCCCCCCATGCACTTAGCTGAGTTGAGCGTATGTGTCTGTGGTGGTGGGGGGTGGGTGCCATTTGTGTGGTCAAGGGGGCTTGAGGCTTACCCTGGCAATTCTCGATTCTTGCTGCCCCTAGAACCTGGGCGGTTACTCCCCAGCCTGGCCAGGCCGCTGCTTATAACAGGGGTGTTGGAAGGGAGCACTGGGGTTTCTGAGCTGCCAAACCAGATTGATCAGAGATCAATGAGTGGGAGCTCAGGAGCCAGCCTGATGATTGAGGCCGATGGCTGTTTCCTTAAAGGGTGTCTCTGCGCAGCGCATCCTGCACCCACCACTGCCTGACCGCCCGCCCCATCCTGCCTCCTCAGTACCCCTCTCTACTCCATCCCACCCCTTCTATCTCCCTTCTCCATCAGCACCCCTCTTCTTCCCCAGGGCCTCTCCTTCTAATCCTGACCAAGCTGAGAGGCTGAACTGCTGTTGGGTGTGTGTCCGTGTCCGCCACATGTGTGTGTTAGGGGCGTGTGTGCAGCTCCGCAGATGAGCACCCGGGTGCAGGTTGCACTGTTGTCCATGATGAGGTGGGGATATTAGTGCCCCACACACAGGTGGGGTGTTGCCTGACACCCAGTAGGTACCCTGGAAATGTTTTCTGAGTTGATGCTTTTGAGGGCTGTGTGGTCATAGCTGCATGTCGCCCACGTGAGCACGTGTGAAGGCTGTGGGTTGACATGTGTGCCCGGGTAACCAGGGGGGTTGGCATGGTGTGTGCAGCATTGGCATGTGTGTGCCCTGATGAACGTGTGTGATGACCAGCATGCCGCACGTGTGTGACGGCTGTGTGCAGTTGCACAGGTGAGCGTGTACAGATAAGGGGGCACAGGTACCGGTGAAGCAGGGTGCTGCGGCCTGGAGCGGGGGGTTGCCACAGGGACTCCTCAGGAGGCTGTGGGGGTGGGGAAACTGCATCCCTGGTTGGCAGGGCATCTGTTGAGGCCTGGCCCAAGGTTGCCCAGGGAGTCGGCAGGTGGGCACAGGTGCTGCAGGGGCTGACGCAGAGCCTGCCCCAAGGCATCAACTCTGCCCCTGGGCCTGCGGGAGGAGCTGCTGAAGGCCATGGGGTGGGGAGGGGCTGGCCCTACTTCTTTGGGACTCCCTTCCCCCTGTGCCCCACAGGCACTGGGCACATGTGGACGCCCAGGCAGGCTGGCCCTGCCGTGACCCGGGCTCCTCCCGCGCTGCCTTTTGCCTCCGTTGCAACAGCCTCCGGTGAAAAATGTGTCTGTGAGCCGCTGAGGGAGGGATGGCCAGCGGGCAGCAGGGGGCGCCGGGGGCCAGCGCGACTGACTGCAGCCGCTTGCTCCCCAGGCCACGCGCCCACCCTCTGTTGCTGGACATCACACAAAAGCCTGTCCCTTCAGCATGCTCGCACCTGCAGGCCCTCTCTGTGCCCGCGCACGCAAGCACCCATCTGTCTCACAGGATTTTCCCTCTCAAACCCCGTCACGCAGCTGGCATGCAAACCCCCACCCTGCCCCTGTGGTCTCCCTGTCACCCAGACCTCTGCAGTCTTGAGCAGGAGGGACTTGGGAGCTGGCTCCCTTGAAGATGGGGCTGAGGGGTGCCATGCTCTGGCATTGCTGCATTGCCCAACCTGACCCCAACCATCTAGCCTGGCTCCTCCTTCTCAGACCCCATCCCCATACTTAGGGCTAACCTAGGACTCGTCTGTCCACCCCGACACTTGGGAGAATGCAGCTGGCTGAGGGGGTCTTAATCCTCCAGGGCTAGGAGATACCCTGTTCCTGCTCGCCCTGCCTTGCAGGTGGGGTGGCCTGGGCTTTGGGGCCCCTAGGTCCTCCCAGGGGAGAGCTGGTCCTCTTGCTGCCTGCCTGCTCCCCACTTGCCTGTGTTGGGAGGGGGGGCTTCTCTCAGGAACCAGGGATAGGCATTGATCCAGGTACCAAGCCCACACCAGAAGTCACGGCCCTCGTTCCCAGGAGCAGCCAACTTTGGCCTCAGCCAAGGGCCAGAGAGCCCCTGTCCTCACGACCCTTCTTCCTGCCTAGTGCTGCTCTGGGCCCAGACCCGCAGGCTGGAGCTCCGAGGCTTCACAAGGCAGGAGCCTGCCCTGAGCTTGGGGTGGGGCTCCCCTGCTCTAGTGCTGGGCCTAGCTGCCACTTGGGAATCTGTGTGTCCACGCATATGCATGCGGGGCCTCCTGTTCTAGGCCACCCCTCTCCCAATGCCCCCTCCTCCCAAGGGCCCTGCCGTCCCCTCCTCCTATTCTCCCAGCCTGGGGCTGGAAGCCTTAGCGTCTCCCTTGCTTCTCCCTTCTCTCTCACGCTTCACATCTAATATGTCACCAAGTCCTCCAGCTCGGGCCTACTTGTGGCATTGCTCATGTCTCTCGACTTCTTTGTCTTCCTCCACTCCTTTCTCCCTCACCTGCAGCAGCCACCACCACCCATCCCCCTCGGGCCTCCTCCACTCAGACTAAGGCATCCCCTGGCATCCAGGCTGGAAATCTGCTAGAAAGCTTTCGGTGACTCCCAGTGCCTGCAGGTCAACCCAAACCTTGAGCCCCCTTGGGCCCTTAGGAAAATACCTTCCTCCCTCGTCATCGCCCCACATCAGCTCTGGGCTGGTCTATCTGGAGGTCGGGTGCCCTCCCTGGCTCTGACTGCTGGTGGGGTGGGCACCCCCAGGCAAGCTCCGGCTTCCAGACTGTAGCTCCTTTGCCTTGCAAAGCGTGGTGCCA